>NC_000017.11:2460807-2612323 GCF_000001405.40 Homo sapiens
CTGGGAGGCAGAGGTTGCAGTGAGCCAAGATCACGCCATTGCACTCCAGCCTAGGCAGTAAGAGGGAAACTCAGTCTCAAAAAAAAAAAAAAAAAAAGTCATCATGAAATGGTCACATGACTTGGTTAACTCTTTTCTGTGAATTTCAGTGCTGTTACCTTCTTTAAGTTTATTTTACTTTCTCAGACTTTTCTCAATGCTCAGTATAATTTTAGTCTATTTCTTCTTCAAGATAGTCTAATGTGTCTAAATAAGTCAATCTAGACTGGGTGCGGTGGCTCGCACCTGTAATCCTAACACGTTGGGAGGCTGAGACAGGAGAATCACCTGAGGTCAAGACTTCGAGACCAGCCTGGCCAACATGGTGAAACCCCAACACTACTAAAAAAAATACAAAAACTTAGCCAGGCGTGGTGGCGCGTGCCTGTAGTCCCAACTACTCAGGAAGTTGAGGCATGAGAATTGTTTGAAACTGGGAAGCAGACAGAGGCTGCAGTGAGCCAACATCACCCTAGTGCATGCACTCCAGCCTGGGTGACAGAGTGAGACTCTGTCTCAAAAAAACAAAAAACAAACAAACAAACAAAAACAGGATATTTGATGATTTTGGAATTGGTCTTTAATAAAATAAGCAGCTTTCCACCTTTGGGAGATAGGAAAGATTTATAGAATAAGAATATACAAAGATTGAAAAGGTAGTAGTAGCTCCTGTAGCCTGCAAAGACCCTGTTTCTGAGGATGTTTTCATTTCTGAGGATGTTCTCCTGTCTTTTTTTTTTTTTTTTTTCAGATGGAGTCTCACTCTGTCACCCAGGCTGGAGTGCAGTGGCACAATCTTGGTTCACTGCAACCTCTGCCTCCCAGGTTCAAGCAGTTCTCCTGCCTCAGCCTCCCGAGTAGCTGGGATTACAGGCGCCTGCCACCACACCCAGCTAATTTTTTGTATTTTTTACTAGAGACGGGGTTTCACCATGTTGGTGAGGCTGGTCTCCAACTCCTGACCTCAGGTGATCCACCCGCTTTGGTCTCCCAGAGTGCTGGGATTACAGGTGTGAGCCACCGTGCCCAGCCTTCTCATGTCTTTAAGTGATTTTGTTTCCTATAATCATCTATACTACATAGACAGAAAAGAGGACAATACCGTATAGGAAAAAAATCTTCCCTATCCAGGAATTCCACTTCTAGGTCTACATCCAAAGAAATGAAAGCAGGGTCTCCAGGAGATATTTATATACCCACATTCACACAGCATTATTCACAATAGCCAAAGGGTACAAGCAACCTAAGTATCTTCCATCAATAGATGAACGGATAAACGAAATGTGGCATATCAGCCTTAAAAAGGAAGAAAATTCTGAAATATGCTGCATCATGGAAGAACCTTGAAAACATGACGAAAAGTGAAAAAAGCCAGTCATAAAAGGACAAATACTGTATGATTCCATTTGTATGAAGTGCCTAGAGTAGTCAAGTTCATAGAGACAGACAGCAGAATGATGGTTGCCAGGGGCTCAGGAAGGAGAGAATAGGAGGGATTTAACGAGTACAGAGTTACAGTTACAAAACATGAAGAGTTCTGGAGACTGCTTGTGCAACAGTGAGAATGTACTTCACATTACTAAACTATACTCTAAAATTTTAGATGGCGATACGGTTTGGATTTGTGTCCCCGCCCAAATCTCATGTCAAACTGTAATCTCTAGTGTTGGCGACGGGGCCTGCTGGGAGGTGACTGGATCCTGAGGGCAGATTTCCCCTTGCTGTTCTGGTGACAGTGAGTGAGATCTCACTAGATCTGGTTGTTTAAGTGTGTAGCACCTCCTCCTTCCCTCTCTTCCTCCTCCTCTGGCCACGTAATGATGTGCCTGCTTCCCCTTCACCTTCCGCCATGATTGTACGTTTCCTGAGACTTCCCCAGCCGTGCTTCCGGTACAGCCTGTGGAACTGTGAACTAATTAAGCCTCTTTTCTTTACAAATTACTCAGTCTCAGGTATTTCTTTATAGCAGTGTGAGAATGGACTAATACAGATGGTAAATTTTATGTTACGTGTATTTACCACAATAATAATAATAAATAAAACCTTCCCTATGTCCCAAAGCTAAATCCTTGGATTGAAAGCTCTTTTAGTTTTTGAACTACCATATTATCCATCATTTCAACAACATGTGGCAGGGTGAGAAGTCAAGCGAGACAAATAGCTCTTTTTGAGTACCTTATGTTGCTTAATGACAGGTGTGTTGTCCAAAATAATTAGCTTTCAAAAGGAATGGCCTTAACCCTCCTCTGCAACTGGTTAGTGATCTCAGTTTCCCTTCATTAAGTTCTTGACAGCTCAATGTCCTCACATCTGTCACTGGGAGACTGATTCCAAGAACCTAAACTGCTGAAAGGACGAGGCAACAAATTTATTCTGGTTCATGGGACAGAACTGAACCCATCTGTTTTCTAATCAAAAGCCATATTTGAATCCGTTTTGTTCTATCACAGGACCATCCTAATGGGAGCAATACAATCATGCGGTATTTTCCTCTTTCCTGTCTATGTAATATACATGATTACAGTAAACACTAATCAATTAAAGGCATGGAACATCCTCAGAAACACAGTCTTCGCAGATTGTAGGAGCCACTACCTTTGCAATCTTTATTTTTATTTTCATTTTTATTTTTGGAGAAGGAATCTTACTCTCTCACCCAGGCTGGAGCGCAGTGGCATGATCTCGGCTCACTGCAACCTCTGCCTCCTGGGTTCAAGCGATTCTCCTGCGTCAGCCTCCCTAGTAGCTGGGACTACAGGCACCCACCACCACACCCAGCTCATTTTTATATTTTTAGTAGAGACAGGGTTTCACTATATTGGCCAGGCTGGTCTTGAACTCCTAACCTTCTGATCTGCCCACCTCGGCCTCCCAAAGTGCTGGGATTACAGGTGTGAGCCACCACGCCCAGCCTGCAATCTTTATCTGCTTGTTCTTCTGAGCACTAGGATTACTTTTGCTCTGAGTGACATAGTTTGTTTTAGAACTACACAGGGGAGGCCGGGCACAGAGCCTCATGCCTATAATTCCAGCACTTTGGGAGGTCGAGGCAGGCAGATCACCTGAGGCTAGGAGTTCCAGACCAGCCTGGCCAAAATGGTGAAACCCCCTTGTCTCTACTAGAAATACAAAAATTACAGGTGGCAGGTGCCTGTAATCCCAGCTACTTGGGAGGCTGAGGCACAAGAAAAGCTTGAACCCAGGAGGCAGAGGTTGCAGTGAGCTGAGATCACGCCACTGCACTCCAGCCTGGCAACAAGAGCAAGACTCTGTCCCCCGCCACCAAAAAAAAGAGAACTACATAGCGGGTAAATATTCCTGTGTTGTAAAGATGGACTCTATGTTGTAAAAACAGACTTACCTTAATCTTTTTTTAAGTTGTAGACTGTCATGGATGATCCTTTTAACAAACTCTAATTCACCTCCTTCTGCCATGATCTCTGTGATGCCTCCTGTATTAACAGAACTAGGCGGAGGTCTTCGAGGATTTCGTGAGTTTACTCCCTGAAAAACAACAAAAAACCCTGGTGAAAAATGTGTACACCCCAAGAACCAAGTTTGAATGTAATCTATCTCTAAGTTAGAATGTTTAGTTGCAATTTTTACTTTCCAAATAGTATGCTAGATTTAGGATTTTAAAATCATAGCCACTAAAATATTTTATTTCAAACAGCTACTTCATGCAACTATTTCTTCCCAGGTCTTTTACTTTCCATTTTTGTGGTTAAACATGAAAATTGTTTACCTTTTTATAAAGCCCAATCTGTCACTTTTTCTTTATGCTTTCTTTCTCCTGTACAGAAGATCCACCCAAAGATTAAACAAATATTTACTTGTTTTTTCCTAGCATTTTCACGGTTTTGCTTTTCACATTTAAATATTTAATCCACCCTTACCTCATACCATATGAAAAGTTAACTCAAAATTCATCAAAGAACTAAAAGGAAAAGCTAAAACTATAAATTTTCATGAGCTTGGATTAATTTTCATTAAGAAAATTAATTTTCATGAGCTTGGATTAGGCAACGGTTTCTGAGACATGACAACAAAAGCATAAGCAACAAAAGAAAACAGATAAATTGGACTTCATCCGAATTAAAAACTTCTGAGCTGCAAAGGGCACCGTCAAGAAAGTGAGAAGACAACCCACAGGAAGGGAATGTTTGCAAATCACTATCTAATAAGGAACTTGCTTATAAAGAATGCTTACAACTTAATAATAAAAACAAAAACAAACCAACTTAAACGTGAGCAAAAGATATGAATAAGCATTTCTCCAAAGAAGATATGTAAATGGCCAATAAGCACGTGAAAAGATGCTCAGCATCATCAGTCATCAGGGAAATCCTAATCAAAACCACAGTGAGATACCACTTTTTACCCACTAGGATGGCTATAATCAAAAAGACAGATCAGGCCGGGCGCGGTGGCTCATGTCTGTCATCCCAGCACTTTAGGAGGCCGAGGCGGGAGGATCACGAGGTCAGGAGATTGAGACCATCCTGGCTAACAAAGTGAAACCCCATCTCTACTAAAAAAAAATACAAAAAATTAGCTGGGCGTGGTGGCTCACGCCTGTAGTCCCAGCTACTCGGGGGGCTGAGGCAGGAGAATCGCTTGAATCCAGGAGGCAGAGGTTGCAGTGAAACGAGATCACGCCACTGCACTCCAGCCTGGGCGACAGAGCAAGACTCCATCTCAAAAAAAAAAAAAAAAAAAAAAAAAGACAGATCAGGCTGGGCATGGTGGCTCATGCCTGTAATCCTAGCATCTGGGGAGGCCAAGGTGGGCAGATCACTTGAGGTCAGGATTTCGAGACCAGCCTGGCCAACATGGTAAAACCCTGTCTCTAATAAAAATGCAAAAAAAATTAGCCACACGCGGTGGTGTCCACCAGGAGTCCCAGCAACTCAGGAGGCTGAGGCATGAGAATCACTTGAACCTAGGAGGTGGAGGTTGCGGTGAGCAGAGATCTCACCACTGCACTCCAGCCTTGGCAACAGAACAAGACTCCATTCCCCACACCCCCCGACCTCAAAAAAAAAAGGACAAATAAGAAGTGTTGACCGGGTGTGATGGCTTACACCTGTAATCCCAGCACTTTGGGAGGCCAAGGCAGGTAGATCACTTGAGGTCAGGAGTTTGAGACCAGCCTGGCCAACATGGCGAAACCCCGTCTCTACTAAAAATACAAAAATTAGCCGGGCGTGGAGGTGCACGCTTATGATCCCAGCTACTCAGAAGGCTGAGGCAGGAGAATTGCTTGAACCTGGGAGGTGGAGGTTGCAGTGAGCTGAGATCACGCCACTACACTCCAGCCTGGGTGACAAGAGTAAGACTCTGTCACAAAAAAAAAAAAAAAAAAAGCCACTTAACAGTAAAAACATTGATTTCCTTCCTAAGCCAAGAAGCTCAGTCCAGGAGTGGACTATGACCTGAGTTGGTCCAATGAGAAGAAAATCAAATGTTCAATGGTTTAGGGAAGAAAAAAGCTCTCTCCTCACCCTCCCACCCTCTAAATATTGCTGTACCACAAGTAAACCAGCTTAAGAACAAAAACAACCATAGAACAAGTCACAGCCAAGAGAAAAACAGAGCTCTTAATACTGCCAACACCTTAATCAAGTCATTATGAAATCCCAACTACTGCTGGGTTTCTCAAATATGTCAGCCAATGAACTTTCTTTGTCGTTAAGTCAATCTAAATTGGGTTTTTAGGTACAGGACTCCTCGGTATCTGAGGAAGATCTGCCTTAGATACCAAAATCCAAGGAAGCTCAAGTCCCTTTTATCACATGGGGTAGGATTTGAATTTCACCTGCCCACATCATCTGGTATACTTTCAATAATTCCTAGATTAGTTATAATACCTTATACAATGTGAATGCTATGTAAAAATAGTGATACTGTATTTTTGTATTATTTTTCATTGTTACATTGTTATTTTTTTTTGTTTTCTTTTTTTCCCAAAATATTTTTTTTTTGAGACAGGGTTACCGAGGCTGGAGTGCAGTAACACGATCCTGGCTCAATGCAACCTGCACCTCCTGGGCTCAAGCCTTCCTCCCACCTCAGCCTCCCAAGTAGCTGGGTCTACAGGCACACGCCATAGTGCCTGGTTAATTGTTTTTGTAGTTTTTGTAGAGACAGGGCTTCACCACGTTGCCCAGGCTGGTTTTGAACTCCGAGCTCAAGCTATCCACCCACCTCAGCCTCCCAAAGTACTGGGATTACAAGTGTGAGTCACCGTGCAAGCTTCCCAATGCTTTCAATGCATGGCTGGCTGAATCCACGATGCGGAACCCACAGGTGTAGGACCTGTGGATACAGAGAGCCGAAAGTACTTCAAACCAAAAGCCCCCTAACTGGTATACAGCTTTCAAAAGCGAGGCACTGCAGCACACGCCTATGGCCTCAGCTACTAGGGGAGCTGACGGGCGGGGGACTGCTTGAGTCCGGATGTTCAAGACCAGCTTGAGCAACACAGCGAGACCTCATCTCAAATATATTAATTTAAAAAATAGTAAGTTAATTTTTTAAAGTTTTCTTTGCTCTTATCTGTGCAAATAAGGCAAATTTAGATTTTTTTTTCTTTTTGAGATAGAGTCTTGCCCTGTAGCCCAGGCTGGAGTGCAATGGCGCAATCTTGGCCCACTGCAACCTCTGCCTCCCGGGTTCTAGCGATTCTCCTGCCTCAACCTCCCAAGTAGCTGGGATTACAGGCATGGGCCATGACGCCTGGCTAATTTTTTTGTATCTTTAGTAGAGACGGAGTTTCACCATGTTGGCCAGGCTGGTCTCAAACTCCTGACTTCATGATTCACCCGCCTTGGCCTCCCAAAGTGCAGGGATTACAGGCGTGAGCCACCGCGCCCAGCCTATATTCAATTATTTTAAAGCAGAAGACATTTTACCTTGGCTTCCAATTGATTGGCAAAAAAGGGAGGGTTGCACATGCAAAAGTCATAGATTATCTCAGATTCTTCTTTAAGAGCATCCATCAGGAGTGTCTTCTGTGGCACTTTCACCACTAGGAGAAAAAACAGGACTGTGAACTAATATTAATGTTGCAGTGGTTCTAAAGTATAACCGCGCACTGCGTAATGATTCTTTGGTCAACTGCATATATGATGGTGGTCCCGTAAGATTATAACACCACATTTTTACTGTACCTTTTCTATGTTTGATATGCTTAGATAGACAAATACCATTGTGCTAAAATGGCCTTCAGTATTCAATACAGTGACATACTGTTCAGGTTATAGCCTAGGAGCCACAGGCTATTACACATAGGCCCAGGTGTGTAGTAGGCTACACCATTCAGGTGTGTGTGAGCACACACTACGATGAATCACCTAACAATGCATTTCTCAGAATATATCCCTGCTGTTAAGTAAGGTGTGACTGTATGTCCTCAAACTCTTCGACAGTACTCCCTTCAGGAGATGGAGTTTAATTTCCCTCCCCTTAAGTATAGGCTGCATTTTAAGGACACTCAAATAGCTTCATGGAGAGATCCACATGGCTATGAACTAGGGTTTCCTTCCAAGAGTCGTGTGAGTGAGCCATGAGTAAGCCATCTTGGAAGCAAATCTCTACCACCCATACATCCTTCAGATGACTGTAGCTCTAGCCAACAACTTGACCGCAAATGCATCAAAGGGTCTCAGCTAGAACCACTCAACTAAGCCATGCCAAAATTTATGACCCATAGGAACTAGGAGATAAATGTTTATTGTTTAAAGTTGCTAGGGCCAAGTGTGATGGTTCATGCCTGTAATCCCAGTGCTTTGGGAGGCCAAGACGGGAGAACTGCTTGAGACCAAGAGTTCCAGATTAACCTGGGCAATACAGCAAGAACCTATCTCTACAAAAATTTTAAAAATAAGAAAATTATCTGAGCATGGTGGTACGAGCCTGTAATTCCAGCTACTTGGGAGGCTAAAGTGAGAGACTGCTTGAGCCCAGGAGGCTGAGGCTGCAGCGAGCCATGATCACGCCACGGCACACCGGCATGGATGACAGAGTGAGACCCTGTCTCTAATAAAAAAATGTTTTTTTTTTGTTGTTGTGTGTGTGTGTTTTTTTTTTCTAAAAGGCTCCTAGCGCCAGGCATGGTGGCTCATGCCTATAATTCCAACACTTCGGGAGGCCGAGGCAGGTGGATCACTTGAGGTCAGGAGTTCGAGACCTGCCTGGCCAACATGGTGAAACCCTGTCCCTACTAAAAAATTACAAAACTTAGACGGGTGTGGTGGTGGGCACCTACAATCCCAGCTACTCAGGAGGCTGAGGCAGGAGAATCACTTGAACCTGGGAGACAGAGGTTGCAGTGAGCAGCAGATTGTGCCATTGCACTCCAGCCTGGGCGACACAGCAAGACTCTGTCTCAAAAAATAAAAAATAAAAATAAATAAATAAATAGGCTCCTAGATTTTGGAATAATTTGTTACACAACAATGGAGAAATAAAACAAATGCACTAATAATATTAATGTCTCCCCTTACAAAGATATGTTCAATACTATGAAGAAAAGTCTTATTTCTTTCATAAAGAGACATAAAATCTCTTTAACGGAAAAAAAATTAACACTGCTTTATACACAGAATGGTCACAAAAATAAAAAGTAACTAATCACAAGGGGATTTGACTATTTCTAGCACAGTTCTATGTACTGAAATTATTATTTGTTTTTGAGACACAGTCTCATTCTGTAGAACAGGATAGAGTGCAGCGGCGAGATCTCCACTCAACTGCAACCTCTGCCTCCTGGGTTCAAGCGATTCTCCTGCCTCAGCCTCCCAAGTAGCTGGGATTACAGATGCCCATCACCACGCCTGGCTAATTTTTGTATTTTTAGTAGAGATGGAGTTGCACCATGTTGGTCAGGCTGGTCTCAAACTCCTCACCTCAGACAATCTGCTTCGGCCTCCCAAAGAGCTGGGATTACAGGTGTGAGCCACCGCACCCGGCCTATGTACTGAAATTAAAAAGATGGTATAGTTTAATCAACAGTAGGGTTTCCTTCCTTTTAAAATCTTGGTGACTAAGTTACTTCATATATAGTCAATTCTCATTATCTGCGCTAGTTATATTCTACAAAGTAGCCACAAATAGTCAATGAGTGAATACTGAACCACTGATTCCCAGGGGAAATACAGGGTTAGGTTCCTACAAGTCTCTCTTCGTATTTTCATCAACTGATAGACACACAACCTTATTTTATGGTGTTCCTGTTCAAAGACACTTTATCGAATATATGTCGCTGATTCACTAACACTGAACTCATGGCCAACAGCACTACAGCTCGCGTCTGAAGGAAGCTTGTCTAACACACGTGTTTTCTCTGTAAGGCACATCACAGCCTTTTTGCACTGAGGAACACAAGACAGCCTTTCAGCACTATGTTTAGGGACTATTTTAAACAGCAAAATCACCAAGAGAAAGCACAAAAATGAAAAAGAAAAAAAAAACCCCAAAACGTGGTATTAAATAGACCAATAAAAGGACGCTTGGTTCACAGTCCGGAAGCTGGAGTAAGAAGGCAGAGCATTGCCTTGTTGAGCCTCAGCTGGGAACATGCACACTGGGGCAACTCCAATTATTTGCCACTATGCACAAGTCTGTGAATGACCACAAAAGTACCATGAATGTCAATTTTAAGTTAAAAATAAATTTTAGGTTGGGGGCAGTGGCTCATGCCTGTAACTCCAGCACTTTGGGAGGCTGAGGCCAGAAAATCACTCAAGCCCAGGAGTTCAAGACCAGCCTGGGCAACACGGTAAGACCCCATCTCTACAAAAAAAACACAAAAATTAGCCAGGCGTGGTGGCACGCACTGGCAGTCTCAGCTACTCACAAGGCTGAGGCTGGATGATTACCTGAACATAGGAGGTTGAGGCTACAGTGAACCACTACACTCCAGCCTGGGTGACAGTGAGACCCTGTCTCTAAAATTAAATAAGTAAATACCTTCATGCATACAAACATATACATACACTTTAGCTATTGATAAACTAATTGTAAAGTTTATTTGGAGAGGCAAAAGACTCAGGATAGCCAACACAATACTGAAAGAGAAGAGGCAAGTTAAAAAACTGACACTACCCAATTCTAAGACTTACTACAAAGCTACTGTAATCAAAACAGTATGTTTTTAGTGAATGAATAGATCAACAGAAGAGAATAGATATAGTCTTTTCAAGAACTGATACTGGCACATCACTTGGACATCCACATGCATAAAATGAATCTAGACAAAGACCTTATATCCCTCACAAAATTTAACTCAAAACAGATCACAGACCTAAATGTAAAATGCAAGACTATAAAACTCCTAGAAAGTAACAGAGTCCTGCTCTGTTTCCCAGGCTGGGGTGCAGCGTCGCAATCTCAGCTCACTGCAACCTCCGCCTCCCAGGTTCAAGTGATTCTTGTTCCTCAGCCACCTGAGTCACTGGGATTACATGCATGCGCCACCACGCTGGCTAATTTTTGTATTTTTAGTAGAGATGGGGGTTTCATCATATAGGCCAGGCTGGTCTCGAACTCCTGACCGGAAGGATCTACCCACCTCAGCCTCCCAGCATGCTGAGATTACAGCACTTTTTGGATATAATACCAACAGTACTGTATACCATTCCTTAAAAGAAGGGATCAATGGCCAGGTGCAGTGGCTCACGCCTGTAATCCCAGTACTTTGGGAGGCCGAGGCGGGCAGATCACGAGGTCAGGAGATCGAGACCATCCTGGCTAACATAGTGAAACCCCGTCTCTACTGAAAATACAAAAAATTGGCCAGGCACGGTGGCGGGCGCCTGTAGTCCCAGCTACTCGGGAGGTGAGGCAGGAGAATGGTGTGAACCCAGCAGGCGGAGCTTGCAATGAGCCGAGATTGCGCCACTGCACTCCAGCCTGGCGACAGAGCGAGACTCCATCTCAAAAAATAAAAAATAAAAATAAGAAGGGATCAATAAGCTGGGCTTGGCTGGGGGCAGTAGCTCATGTCTATCATTCCAACGTTCTAGGAGGTCCAGACAAGAGAATCACTTGAGGACAGGAGTTTGAGACCAGCCTGGGCAACATGGTGAAACCCCATCTCTACTAAAAATACAAAAATTAGCTGGGCGTGGTGGCAGGCGCCTGTCATCTCAGCTACTTAGGAGGCTGAAGCAGGAGAATTGCTTGAACCCAGGAGGCAGAGGTTGCAGTGAGCCAAGATCATACCATTGCATTCCAGCCTGGGGAACAAGAGCAAAACTAAGTCTCAAAAAAAAAAAAAGGGCAAAAGGCCTGAACAGACATCTCACCAAAAAAGATATACAGATGGTAAATAAGCACATGAAAAGATGCTCCACATGAATATCAGCAAAATGCAAATTAAAATAATGAAATACCACTACACGCCTATTAGAACGGCCAAAATCCAGAACACCGACAGCACCCAGCACCCAGTGCTGGCAAGGATGTGAGCAACAGGAACTTTCATCCATTGCTGCTGGGAGTGCAAAACAGTACTCTGGAAGACAGTTTAGTGGTTTCTTACAAAATTAAACATACTATTACCATACCATCCAGCAAGCACACTGCTTGGTATTTACCTAAAGGAGTCAAAAACTTACATGCACAGAAAAAGCTGCGCACAGATGTTTCTCACAACTTTATTTGTAATTGTCAAAATTCGAAAGCAATCAAGATGTCCTTCAATAGGTGAATGGAGAAACTCTGGTACACCCAGATAATGGAATATCAAAATGAAATGTGCTAAAAATAAATGAGCTTTCTGCAATTAGAGAGGCAGCAGGAAAAAAAAAATTAAAAGAATAAAAAAAAGCTATCAAACTATAAAAAGACATTAGGAAATTTAAATAAATGTCACTAAGTGGAAGAAGCCAATCTGAAAAGTCTATATACTGTATGATTCCAATTATATGACATTCTGGAAAATGTAAAACTGTGGAGACAGTAAAAAGGTCAGTAGTTTCCTGGGGTTGGGGGCAGTGAGAGATGGACAGTTGAGGCACAGAAGACGGCAGGGCAGTGAAACGATTCTGTGTATACCGTACTGGGAGATACATGTCAGCTTCATTATTCCAAAACTACAGAATGTACACCACCAAGAGGAAACCGTAATGTAAAGAATGAACTGTGGGTGATAATGATGTGCCAGCATAGGTTCATCACCTGTAACAAATATCCCACTCTGTTGGGGGATGCTGATAATGGAGAAGGCTATGCGTGTGTGGGGGCAGGGATATACAGGGAATCTCTGAACCTTTCACTTCATTTTGCTATGAACCTAAAAATGCCCTAAAAAATAAACTCAACAAACAAACAAAAAACCCCCACTTAAAGTCTCTGGAAATGTTTCTAAGGGGTTATAGCGAATAAAGAAACATTTATTCAAGAAAATCTACTAAAATAAATGAATGGATAAATAAATAAATTTAGGCAAATAGGCAAATTCACAAAAAAAGAATCCACAAATCATAAGGATCAACTGTAGTTACTATTTTCTGAGTTAATTCTGGTATCAAGACAGCAAACCCAATTACAAAGTGCCAGATTTTTTTAAATTACCGAAGTCTGTGTATTAAAGAAAAAGGTAATGAAATGCGTTAAACTAAAAAGGCAGGTGAAGACACAAAGTTTGGAGGCATTCATTCTGTGGCGCTAACCTTTTATGAGATCAGATAAGTTATTCTGTTCCACATTTTTCTTTGCATAGTTGAAACACATATCATCCACTTCTGTTGCGAGGAAATACCAGCCATTCAAGGTTGCTCCAAGTAAGGGGTAGATGCAAGATGCCCCCGTGCCTAATAAAATAAAAATACAAAACACATTCTACACACCAGAGGGAAAGGTTACAATAATCATGAAAACACCATTCTTCTCAGAATTCTGTTTGCAGACAGGGTCTCACTCTGTCGCCCAGGCTACAGTGCAGTGGTGTGATCACGGTTCACTGCAGCCTCAACTTTCTGGGCTCAGGCGATTCTCCCTGCTCAGCCTCCTGAGTACCTGGGACTACAGGTGCATGCCACCATGCCTGGCTATTTTTTGTATTTTCTGTAATTTTTGTATTTTTTGGCAGAGAAATCACAAGCTGGTACCTGATGTCATACATGTTATGGCTACTGGGTTCCCTAGTCATTCGTGTATGTTAGTCCTACCTCCTAATTAGATCCAACTTCCTAAAGGATCGAAACCTTGCTGGCCTCCTCTTTCGTGTGTTGTATAAAAAATGAAGAACACACAAGCAGAGGTCGAGGAATACATGACTAATTCACCTAAAATGCTCAAAACTCAGCTGATTTACTTTGTAAAGAGTCTTCATTTTAAATCTCATACAAAACTCAATTTTCTTAAAAGAAAACAATGCTATTTATTAAAATGCCTTTGTAATATCTTAAAATGGATCAATGTACATTCCATTCTCCAAAAGCAGGAAAAAATATGTAGGGTATAAAATGTTTATTATATTAAACTGCTGAATTACCCAAATGTCTGTAAGTTGTCAGCTGAAAGAAACAAAAAGAAAAAAAAAAAAAAAAAAAAAGCTAAACTAAAGAGATAACTCATCTCTCAGATGAGAAGACATGCGAAAATATTTGGTTTGGAGCCACGACATCAGAGTCACTGGCTAGCCCCACCACAGTTTCAAGGGAAGCACTCAAGAGGCAAACGCTCCATGCAAAAAAAAACACTCTTTGACCACTAGGGTTTGGTACTAAATTATGTAGAACCGCTAGCCCTGGACTGGACTATATACTAACCAAGAATATTGTTTTTACAGGCCGGGCGTGGTGGCTCACACCTGTAGTCCCAGCACTTTGGGAGGCCGAGGCAGGCGGACCACCTGAGGTCAGGAGTTCGAGGCCTGCCTGGCCAACATGGTGAAACCCCATCTCTACTAAAAGTACAAAAATTAGCTGGGCATGATGGTGGGTACCTCCAGCTACTCAGGAGGCTGAGGCAGGAGAATCGCTCGAACCTGGGAGGCGGAGGTTGCAGTGAGCCGAGATCGTGCCATTGCACTCCAGCCTAGGTGACATCAAGTCTCTCTCTCTCTCTCTCTCTCTTACAATATTGACTATCTTGGCCAATTAGATCCTAAAGAGTATTATCAAGAGAAGAGTGTTTCTCCCAAAAGCCTAAAGCAGTCAGCCTCTACCAGCCACTCTAGGCCTGCTCTCATCTGACCATATCCCAATTCTGGTCTAGCCTTGTAAGGATTTGCCAGGAAGAAGCAGAGGCTAGATACTCTTAACCCAGAGGAAATCCAGACTCGTCATACTGCTTCCTCATTACGCATCCTGAACAGGCTAGTAAAAGATGATGGCCGCAACATTTAAGCTCTCCGACGGTCACGGTGAACGCTGCATTGCCTACCATTTTTGCCCGAGGGTATCCTGGCCCCAGTGCTACTGGACAAGCACGTCCTTGGATACCTGCGGGGCAGTGAGGGAAGGCGTGGTAAAGGGTATTCGAGGTCCTGTCAGAAACCACAGTTCTTTGGCTGCTGCTAGCCGTTCTAGTAAGCCAAACACACACACAGTAAGAACATGTCAGTTGTACTTTCGACTCTGTAGGAAAAAAATCCAGACCAGATCCTTGACTTTTATACAACTGCCTCTCTCTTCAAACTTCAATTTCATTTAAAAGATAAAAAAGTACACTTACCTCCAGGGTAATAAATACACATAAAAGATTTGTCAGCGCCAAAAAAAGTTTCTTAATTCTTAAGACCCAAAGACTTGCACTCTAATAGAACGCAACAGATTCTCTACTAGTCCTTTACAGGACAGAATGAAATCCCCTCAGAAAGCCAAATGACATTTTTAAATGGGTAATAATCTTTGTAATGACAAATAAAAATGGAAAGTACATAATGGTAGAATTAGAGCAAACTGATGGAGTCTGGGGGAAGAATTTATATAAAACCCTAATTAGAATGGATGTGATTGCAGTTAGGTAGTGCCCCTTGTGAAGAATTGAAATCCATTAACCTCCTCTATCCCCAAGTGCTATTTTAGAGGGTTTGGGGCATAATTAAAATCAAATTAGTACCAACTAGGCTGTCAAGCTTTTTAAGCAAACTAGCTGAGAAGCAGAAGAGGTGAGAAATGCAGAAAGGTGAGAGACGATGACTTGGCTAGGATGGCAGTGGAGATGGAGAGAAGTAGATGATTTCAGAAGTATTTAAGAGACAAAGTCAACAGGAAACAGTGATAGATATTTTTTCACTGCATGTGGAGAAGCAAGTATCAAGGACCACAGGGTGGACTATGGTAGACTCACTGAAACAAGAAACAAAGAGAACCAGGATTAGGGAAACAGAGTGTGGGTTTGGTCTTGGACATAGCAAGTCTGAGATGTTTTTCAGAAATCCAAGTTTCTCATATATATGAGATTGGAGGTCAAGGAAAGTAATCTGAGTTGGAGGAACATATAAATATGTGATTTATTTGCATGGAGTTGGGAAATCGTCATAGAAGTGAATGCAATTACCAGGGTAGGGTGCTGAGTGAGAAAGGAGCTAAAGGCTGAGCCTTATGCAAGGAATACCAGTATCTAGTGGTCAGCTACAGGAAGGTATGCCTGAAAAGTGGAGAACAGTGCAAAGAAATGAAAGAGGAAACCAGCAGTCTGGTGTCATGGAAGCCAATGAAGGAGAGTGAACAAAAGAGAAAGGAGGGATCAATAAATGCCGCTGAAAAGATCATGTAGGATGAGGGCTGAAAATGCATGCAAATATCAAAGTTAAACATTTACTGCTATCTAGAAATTAGGACTGCTATTAGTTCTACTCAGTTAGAAATAGAGGCTGGGCATGGTGGCTCACGCCTGTAATCCCAGCACTTTGGGAGGACGAGGCAGGCGGATCACCTGACGTCAGGAGTTTGAGAACAACCTGATCAACATGGTGAAATCCCACCTCTACTAAAAATACAAAAATTAGCCAGGGGTGGTGGCAGGCACCTGTAATCCCAGCTACTTGGGAGGCTGAGGCAGGAGCATTGCTTGAACCCGGGAGGCGGAGGTTGCAACGAGTCGAGACCGTGCTATTGCACTCCAGCCTGGGCGACAAGAGCAAAATTCCGTTTCAAAAAAAAAAAAAAATCAGAATACGAACACATCAAATAATCCAGAGTAAAAATAAAGCCCAACAGACACAGACATCAAAGTGGTAATCTGAAAAGCTAAATAGGGCCAGGCGTAGTGGCTCATGCCTGTAATCCCAGCACTTTGGGAAGCCAAGGCAGGTGGACTGCTTGAGCCCAGGAGTCAAGACCAACCTGGGCAACACGAGACCCCATCTCAAAATAAAAAAATTTTTAAATTAAAAAAATAAAATGAAAAGCTATATAAATAAGAGCCTCATTTTCATTTTGTACTTCCCTTAACCTCTTGCTCCCTGTTTGGACTGACAATCCCTTCTCAAGAGAAATCAGTGGGAGAAAAGGCCAGGTGTAGTAAAAAAGAACGGTAATGCAGGCTGAGGATCCCTAATCCAAAATGCTTGGGATGAGAAGTGTTTTGGATTTCAATTTTTTTTTCAGATTTTGAAATATGTGCACTATATTTACAGGCTGAACATCCCTAACCCCCAAATCTGGAACGCTCCAACGCACATTGCCTTTGAGCAACACATCAGTGCTCAAAGGTTGCAGATTTTGAAGCATTTCGGATTTTCGGATTAAGGATGCTCAACCTGTATCTGTAGCCAGCTTCTTTTGTACAACAACAAATACCCAGTAGAAAAGTTTACAAAGAATTTGATCTCGCAAAACTTATGAAAACTGTTTAGCCAAAAAAGAATTTAAAATGATATACCTATGTCAATTCCTCTTCGGAGAGTACTTTTGTCAGAATCCTGGTGACCGATCAGATCTTCTACCCAGTGAATATAGTTGAGTCTCAAGGGAACTGTGGGAATTAGTCTCTCCAATGGAATATCAATAGAAAGTCCAAAATCTTCCCTTAGGAGAGTACACGTCAGAGCTCTGACTGCTTCGGGGTCTTTAAAATTAAGGCTGAGGAATAAAGAAAAGGAAGTAAAACTGATTAGTAAGATTCACTATGTTGTACAAGCTCTACGGCAAACAGGCAGAACCAAATACCCATCCGAACCTCCCAGGGAGATCACACACAGTTACACAGAGCACTCATCCCAGTGGCACATACACGAGTGTTTCACACAGTCACAGCTTATGAAAATCAGTACAATCCTCCACCAAAAACACTGCATATCCGTATATGGAGCACAGAGATTAAATGACTCGGCTCAAATTCCTGTCTCGTCGTCTCCTCACTGTGTGACTTTGAACAAGTCATTTACCTCTATGAAAGTGTTTCCTCTGCTGTGAAATGAGGACAGTAATACCAATATCACAATGCTACTGTGAGATGACCTGAGAAGTACTTAGCATAATGTCTGGTGCATAATAACTATTTTACAAATGCTAGCTGTTTTTACTCTTACCATTAACATCATCTGACATTAGCATTCCTTGAAAATCCTACTTAAAAGTGGAAAGAAGTCAGTATAAAAATGTTTAATATGAACACAGGATAAGATACTTAAATATGACAAATATTACAGACATCAAATTTTAAATGTAACTTTTTAAAGCTTTATGAAGTATAATTCACATACTATAAAATTCACCTGTAAGTGTACAATTGAATAGTTTCTAGTATATTAACAGAGTCGTGCAACCATCACCAAAACCCACTTTTAGAACACTCCTATCACCCCAAAAAGCAGAACTCATGACCATTTGCATGTCTTTCCTCATTTCCAACGTTAGCCTGAGGCAACCATTGATGTACTTTCTGTCTTCATAGATTTGCCTTTTCTGGACACTTCAAGTAACTGAAATCATAATGAGGTCTTCTGGTCACTTAACACAAGTTTGTGAGGTTCATCCATTTTGTAACTTGTCAGTGTTTCACTTCTTTTTATGGGCGAATAATGTTCCATAGTAAGAATGACTACATTTTGTTTATCCATTCACCAGTTCCTGAACATCTGGGTTGTTTCCATCACGGTCATGATGGATTGTTGACCATCACGAACAATGCTGCTATGAACATTTACATACAAGTCTTTGTGTGGACATACGTTTTCGCTGCTCTTGGGTAGACAGTCAGGAATGGATCATAAGATATATTTGTATTTAACCTTTTAAGAAACTTGTACCAATATAACTATGTTGATGTCAAAATACTGCTAAACTGAAAATATTAAAAAAGAATATCAACAGACCTTATTTATAAACAGAGCAGGGTCTTTTTTGGTTTTTGTGGGTTTTGTTTTGTTTTGTTTTGTTTTTGAGCCAGGTCCTCACTGTCTCCCAGACTGGAATGCACGGTGTGATCATGGCTCACTGCAGCCTCACCCTCCCAGGCTCAAGTGACCCTCCTGCCTCGGCCCCACAAGTAGCTGGGACTACAGGTGCATACCACCACACTAAGCTTTTTTTTTTTTTTTTTTTCGTAGAGAAAAGGGCCCAGCCCCTTATGTTGCCTCAACTGGTCTTGAACTCCTGGGCCCATGTAATCCTCCCGCCTCAGCCTAAGTGTTGGGATTGCAGGCGTGAACCACTGCACCTGGCCAACAGAGCATTTTGAAGAAAGCAGAAAGTCAGTAGATGGGGTATGAAAGGGAGGAGTTTTGAAACTACTTAGAATTCTGGCCTCAAGGTGTCTGGTCAGGCAACAACACATCCTCAAACAGCTTCTGGTCTGTACTATCTCCTTTTCTGCTCCCCTGCCTGGTCATCAAATGACCAATCATTGGAAAAATTCAATGTCCATCGGGATGCTTGAGTGCCAAGACAGAAGGAAGAGTGCTGTTTCCACCCAGCAACCATGGAAACTTCAGGCAGGTACCATCAACCCAATCTCTCTCCACTCCCCACAGCAAAAATGTTCTAGTATGGAAGTTAGGAGATCTGGACTCCACTTTTGGCTCTGCAATCAATTTGCCATGGACGTAAGTCACTTCAGTTCTTAGGTCTCAGTTTCTCCACCTATAAAAGTAAAGGACTGGCCGGGCACGGTGGCTCACACCTGTAATCCTACCACTTTGGGAGGCTGAGGTGGGTGGATCACCTGAGGTTGGGAGTTCGAGACCAGCCTGACCAACATGGAGAAACCCCAACTCTACTAAAAATACAAAATCAGCCAGGCATGGTGGCGCATGCCTGTAATCCCAGCTACTCAGGAGGCTGAGGCAGGAGAATCGCTTGAACCCGGAAGGCAGAGGTTGCAGTGAGCCGAGACTGTGCCACTGCACTTCAGCCTAGGTGACAGAGAGAGACTCTGTCTCAAAAAAAAAAAAAAAAAGAAAAGAAAAGAAAAAACATACCTTTCACAGGAAAAGACCTTGCAAAAAGATGGATGATGGGCAGCATCAGATTTCATGAATATAGATTTGTTATCTATACAAAAATTGCATTCCATACCTGAATATAATGATTTCGTCTGACCTCTAAGAATGCTTCCAGACACTAACTTATAGGGAGGAAAATGGAAGGGATGAAGAATGAAGCTTTAATATAATCTACAGCAGACAGAAACAGGATGACTATAGTGGACCCTGAAGAGACACAGCCAGAGCCTGGAAGCAATGACGCTCCCATCGCTACGAGCATACCTAGAGTGCCAGACCTTGGTTTCCAAATAGCACTCCCCAAAGGAATCGGAGTTCCTTGGATAAATGGTTATTCCAGAATTGGAAAGGGAAGTACAAGATAAACCCGAAGCATTTTATTGTATTAGAAAACAGGACATGCTGAAAGGAAGATAGAAACAAATCAGAAGTACACTAGACCCTGCTTGATGGGGCTCCCTTTGGCCAAATCTGTGTCAATGTGAATGAAGAAGGCTAACAAAGGATTATAGACCATAGAATAAAATACATGAGTCCATCCTTAAATGTAGAAGTAATGAAAGAGTTAGATAATTACATTTGGCAATCGCCATGCTAATAATTGTTTCAATTAAGAATTATCAATGGATGCTAAAAATAATGAGTAAAAGTTTGTTGAAAAACAGGATATTGGGCTGGGCACGGCAGCTCACACCTGTAATCCCAACACTTTGGGAGGCCAAGGCAGATGGATCACTTGAGGTCAGGAGTTCAAGACCAGCTTGGCCAACATGGTGCAACTCCATCTCTATCAAAAATTACAAAAATTAGCCAAGCATAGTGGCACATGCACCTTTAGTCCCAGCTACTCAGGAGGCTGAGCTTGCAGAATTGCTTGGACCTGGAAGGGGCAGAGGTTGCAGTGAGCCTAGATGAAGCCACCGCACTCCCGTACGGATGACAGAGTGAGACCATGTTTCAGAAAAAAAAGAAACAATGACAAAAAAAAAAAAAACCCAGGATATTTACACAGTCACAACGTACTTCCCCACAAATTATCAACTACCTTGATAATGATATCAATTATCAGATTATGAAAGGATAAAATAACAGTAAAATGAAGAAATCTGACAGATACCCCCTTAACGAAGTGACCAAAGTTAATACCCCTAATTATGAAACAAACTGGTATTATATGCTTCAACGATACAGAGAAGAAGAGAAAGGGATACAGCAAGCAAGACCCAAAAAAGCAGGCACAATTAAACAAAATTCAGGAAGGAGAGAGTGGCCATGGTTGTACACGTGTCAATATACTAAAAACCACCAAGTTATGAGAGTGAATTTTATAGTATATGAACTATATCTCAATAAACAAATGAAATGGAAAGGAGCAAGAAGTTTTAAAAAGTAAAGAAAAAGTAGTAAACATAAGAGAGGTTAATAATGAAGACCCCCTTGCAGATAACTGGGGATTCTGAATAAGAGAACCAAAGGATTAGAATAAAGAAATATTCAAAGACATGATTCAAGGTAACTTTCCAGAAATAGAAGGCTCACTATGTTCCCAGGAAAAGATACAGAATTAGAAATACCAACACCTAAAAAAATTACCAGACTTTAAGGCTTACAAGAAAAAAAAATCCTTTAGATATCTAGGCAAGTAAGCTAAACAATTGATTTTGGGGTTAGGGACGCAGTAGGGTACATGAGGCTGCTTTTAGATGTCCACACAGCACCATTCAATAGTAAAAGACAAAAGAACAGTGACTACAAAGCCCTTAGAGGAAAAAAAGTGTGACACAATTTTATGCTCAGCCAAACTTACTTTGATTATAATGACAACAGATAAACATTTTGAGTATACAGGAACTCAAGGAGTAGAGTTTTCACGAGCTCTTTGTGAAGAAATTCCTAATGGAAAAAGTTAATCAATTGAGATAAATTAAGGAACTACAGTAAGTCTTCACTTAACATTGACAATAGGTTCTTTGACTTTAAGCGAAACCATACGTAACAAAATCAATTTTTTTCTCATCACTTATAAGGAAATGACGTTATTAGAGGACCTGCTATACATCATTTCATTCATGTCGCAGTTTCCAAGAATCTACTGGCAACACTAACTGAGGACTTACTGTATAGCAAAACAACTGGCACTGAGCAGTTAAGCCATTTTAACCAGAGAGCTAAGATGAAAACACCTGTGAACCGTGGCTACATAATAAAATGTAAGTGTTTACAAACCACGACAACATACACATAATCAAAATTCGGGACAGGAAACAGGAAATGGAGAGGGAGTGCCTCAGCTTTTATACACAGGGTCAAAAGACTTCATTTAAGGCTGATAAACTAAGTAGCAGAGATAGAAGCACACATTTAGGAAGATAAACTGGCTGGGCCCAATGGCTCACACCTGTAATCTCAGCACTTTGGGAGGCCGAGGTGGGCGGACTGCTTGAGCTCAGGAGCTTGAGACCAGCCTGGGCAACATGGCGAAAGCCCGTCTCTACAAATAGTACAAAAATTAGCTGGATGTGGAGTATGGTGGTTGTGTGAGCCTGCGGTCCCCGCTACGCAGGAGGCAGGAGGATCACTTGAGCCCAGGAGATCAAGGCTGCAGTGAGCCAAGATCCCATCACTGCACTCCAGCCTGGGTGACAGAGTGGGACCCTGTCTCAAAAATAATAATAATAATAATATTAACACTAGAAGAATGAAGATAAATAATATAATCAAATAAAATCAGGGGCAGTAAAGGAAAGGTAGGTGAAAATCAGATCATATAGTGTTAAAAAAAAAAAGCAGCAAGAACAAAGCATGATATAAAATGAATGTGAAATGAATGTAAATAGTAAACTCATAATACTCTCAGATTAGATTACAAAAGACAAAACCAACTAATTACAATAAACTGTTTTAAACAAAAACTACGGCTAAAACAAAATGATCCAAAGGTTGAAAATAAAAGCTTAACCAAAAGTATCCCAGACAACTACAAATAAAAATGAAAATAGGAGTTATTTCACAACAGACAACCTTAATTTTTGGATCAAAAGGATTAAATGAGCAACTATGTAGAATGGGTTAAAAATATAAAATGCTGATGGAGGTCAAGAGAATAATAACTTTAAAAAGTGACTGACTCCATTTCTGTGGGTGTTGGTTTTAAAGAACAGCTTCTATAGGACAGTGGAAGCAGAAGTTTATTGCATAAATATATGCTAGCAATTAAAAGTCTCATTAAAATACATTAAGTCTATTTAAAGGGGTATTAAGTTTATTCTTAGACATCAGAATTGGATATGTATTAATTTTGTCATTTATGGGGGCTAATAAAAGAGGGTTAATCCAGGGGCAACAACCACGAACACATTTCTGCTTTACTCAATAGCACGCAATGGCCTCAATCAATTTTCACATAAAAAAAAGATTTGCACTATCTTTGTATTTCTTACTCGACTAAAAGCAGTATAAACTCAGGATCAACAAGATAAATGATGAGCAATAAAAAGGTATAAAATCTATAAGCACTTCAGTTTTACTTCTAACGAGAATATTTTATTCCTGTGAAATCAGTCAAGTGTGTGAGAAAAATGGGCCAATTCCATTTCCTTCAATGACATAGGAATGAAAGTCAAGTTTTACATATGACGAAGAAGTTCACATCTAAGTACCATGCTAAGGCATTCAAACACATTCGTGTCTTTAACTCGAGAATGGTAGCCTGACCTATTAACTAAATTTCACTGCTAAACACACAAAAGGAAAAATATCCCATGTCTATGTTCAAAGGCTTAATATCTCAAACGTAAAATTTCATGGTAAAAGGAATTTGAGGAGAAAAAAGTTTTCAGAAAAATCTCTATTAAAGAAACTTAGTAACTTACTTATAAAATAAGCTTGATAAAGAGTATTATCTAAGGGCAGTAAATAGTAACAAAAGTATTGCTATTTTGCACTGGCATTTCAAAGTAATTGTGAAAATCAGGGGTTTCAAAATATTTATAAGGAATAGCTATTGGTACTACTCAAAATGCCAGTCCCTGACAAGATAAAGAGCTTGTGCCAGAATGTAAACAACACATTAAAAAGTCAATTAAACCAAAGAAATGTGAGGTAACCTAAACATACGGCACAAGGTCCTTATCTCTGTGGACAGTAACAAATAGTCTGTGGTTAAGCAGCCAGTTCAATAACCACTTTTAGTAGCACTATGCCAGATGCCACAAATGACCATTTCAAAGGTTATGACCACTACTCTGTTCTTTTTTTTTTTTTGAGACGAAGTTTCGTTCTTGTCGCCCAGCCTGGAGTTCAATGGCGCAATATCAGCTCACTGCAACCTCCACCTCCCGGCTTCAGGCGACTCTTCTGCCTCAACCTCCTGAGTAGATAGGACTACAGACATGTACCACCATGCCCGGCTAATTTTGTATTTTTAGTAGAGACGGGGTTTCGCCATGTTGGCCAGGCTGGTCTTGAACTCCTGACCTCAGGCATACTGCCTGCCTCGGCCTCCCAAAGTGCTGGGATTACAGGTGTGAGCCACCGCGCCTGGTGACCACCACTCTAAGTAGTTAATGTTGTGTGGATTTGCCAGCCCGGTTTTGCCAGCTCTCTAATACTTTCAAACAAAACCAGTGATCCATGTTTTCATATGAAATGGATCTGATTCTTAAGATTAATATGGGCAATAAATAATAACTGCAAGCCTTATACAATTCACAGGCTAATGGGCCGCACCCTCTATTACAGGAGTCCCCAACCCCTGGGCCATGGACTGATATTGGTCCCTGGCCTGTTAGGACTTGTGCCGCACAGCAGGAGGTGAGAGGCAAGCAAAGCTTCATCTGAATTTACAGCCACTTTCCATTGCTCACATTACTGCCTCAGCTCCGCCTCCTGTCAGATCAGCGCAGCATTAGATTCTCACAGGAGCGTGAACCCTCCTGGGAACGCCGCATGCGAGGGATCTAGGTTGAGCACTCCTTGAGGATCTAAAGCCTGATGATCTGTCACTGTCTCCCATCACCCCCATATGGGACCGTCTAGCTGAGGGGAAACAAGCTGCGGGAAAACAAGCTGATTCTACACTATGGTGAGTTGTATAATTATTTCATTACATGAAATAATACAACGTAATAAATGTACAATAAATGTAATGCGCTTGAATCATCCCGAAATCACCCCTCCCCCACCACAGGTCCATGAAAAAATTGTCATCCGTGAAACTGGTCCCTGGTGCCAAAAAGGTTGGAGACCACTGCTCTACTCAATTGTAAACAGTAGAATTGTAAAGAAAGTTGGGGTACTTGGCTACTCTACTTTTAAAAGTGAAATATAAAAATGTTTATTTTGAGCACTACTTTGTTCAACTGAGGTATACAGAATAGGTCAGAATTTTTAAGAAACTGTGACAGCTGGCATGCATTCCTTTATTCATTCAACAAATAGTTATTAAGTGTCAACTATGTGCCAGGTATTACGCAAAATGCTAGGGATATTGCAGTAAGCAAACACAGACAATCCCTCCCTTTCTGAAGCGGACGGTCTGGCGGAGGATAGGTATTATCCAGAAATCACTTAAATACCTGTAAAACTATAACTGCGACAGATGCTATAAAAGACAGGTAAAAGATACTACTGACCCCCCCTAATTAGTGGATCTGCCTTAGGAAGGTCAGAGGAGGCTTCCCTGCACAGACAACTAAGCTAAGAACTGACAATGGAAGAAAAATTCACAAAGGAAGGAACGAAGGGAAGGGAACGTGGCATTCTAGGGTCCTAGGTAAAGCAAACCGCAAGTACAAAGACCCTAAGGCAGAACTTCTGGAGCATTCCAGGTACTAAGAGACAGTCACTGTGCCTCAAATGCAGAGAGCAAAGTAAGCGTATATAGTTCAAGGTGAAGCTGGGGAGGAAGGCAGGTTCCAGATTACGTAGGGCATTATAATTAGAGTGACCATATAATTTTATCATGTCCAGTCTGAAACTTTCTGAAAGTGAAAGAAAAACTATTAATAATCACACCAGGATACTACTCTTTTTTTTTTTTTGAGACAGAGTCTCGCTCTGTCACCCAGGCTGGAGTGCAATGGCGAGATCTCGGCTCATTGCAACTTACGCCTCCCGGGTTCAAGCAATTCTCCTGCCTCAGCCTCCCGAGTAGCTGGGACTACAGGCATGTACCACCATGCCCAGCTAATTTTTTGTATTTTTAGTAGAGACGGGGTTTCACCGTGTCAGGCAGGATGGTCTCAATCTCCTGACCTCATGATCTGCCCGCCTCGACCTCCCAAAGTGCTGGGATTACAGGTGTGAGCCACTGCACCCAGCTGATAAAAGTATATTCTATGTTAAGGATTTAGGTATGGTATAGAATAAAGTTGGAACAAAGTGGAAGCAAAGGCTCTAATTAGGAAGCTACTGCTATACCTGCGTTAAGAGGCTAGATAAAGGCTGGGTGTGGTGGCTCACAACTGTAATTCCAGCACTTTGGGTGGCTGAGGTGGGTGGATGGCTTGAGTCCAGGAGTTTGAGACCAACCTGGGTAGCATGGTGAAACCCTATTTCTATAAAATATACAAAAATTAGTCAGTGTGGTGGTGTGGTGGCATGCACCTGTGTTCCCAGCTACTCTAGGCGGGGGAGTGGGAGTAGGGCGCGGTACTGAGGTGGGAGGATCACTTGAGCCTGGGAGGTGGAGGCTGCAGTGAGCCGAAATTGTACCACTGCACTCCAGCCTGGGCAACAGAGTGAGATCCTGTCTCAAAAAAAAAAAAAAAAAAAAAAAGGCTATATCTAGATAAAGGTAGCAATGGCAGAGATAGGGAAAAGTGAAAGGAATTAGAGATATTTTGGAGAGAACATCTGTGAGATTTAGCAACGAAATGATATGTGAGCTAAGGGATGCTGTGTTTCACATGAGTCTCCCAAGGTTCTAGCTTGCTCAACAGGATAGGCGGTGCCACCCTAACTGAAGTTAGTAACTCTGGCAGAGAACCGTTTTTGAAGAGAAATATAAATCTGAGCTGCATCTGAGACATTTAAGCGGAGATGGAGCCCAGAGAAGAGGTGTGTAGAAATAAACATGTAAGTGATTTGCAAACAAACAAGTGAAGCCCTGGCACGGATAACAGCGATGAAGGAGAAAATATAAAGTGCGAAGGAAAGAGAGCTGCGGCGCAAGCTTTGAAAACTCCTTTAATAGCTGTATGCACAGTCATTACAGAGGAAGTTCCACAAGGAGACAAAGGAACACCAGAGTGGAAGAAGGAAAACCAGTTTTCCAGTGTGGTGCTGAGGAGGCCAAGGCAAGAGGGTATCCATGAAGGATAAACCAACCAGCAGAGTGACCTGCTGCTCAGAAGGCAACGGAGCCCTGAAAATCAGAGTCAGTGACATGAGGCTGCTGGAGACCTTTTAAAGAGCTGCTTTGGTAGTGGTAGAGTTAGAAACCACTGTGGAATCAGCTAAAGATTAAATGAGGGCAGAGTGTGGAAGCTCACACCTGTAATCCCAGCACTGTGGGAGGCTGAGGCGGGAGGATTGCTTGAGCCCAGGAGTTCAAGACCAGCCTGGGCAACAAAAAGAGACCCTGTCTCTACAAAAAAAAATTTTAAATTAGCCAGATGTGGTGGCAGACACCTATAATCTTAGCTACTCAGGAGGCTGAGGCAGGAGGATCACTCAGCACAGGAGGTCAAGGCTACAGTGAGCTGTGATCGCATCACTGTATTCCAGCCCAGGCAACAGAGCAAGACCCAGTCTCAAATAAAATAAAATAAATAAAATAAAATAAAAATCATGCAGTACACCTTAAATATAGACAATTTCAACTCTAAAAAATGAAAAAAACCTCAAAAGATTTGAAAACAGGACCTCAAAAAGATATCTGCACACCCATATTTACTGCAGCATTAACCCCAACAGCCAAGAGGTGAAAGCAACCTAAAGGTCCACTGACAGATTAACAGATAAAGCAAATGTGGTATATACACAAAATGGAATACTATTCTGCCTTTAAAAAGAAGGAAATCCCAGCCCGGCGCAGTGGCTCACGCCTGTAATCCCAACACTTTGGGAGGCTGAGGTGGGCAGATCACCTGAGGTCAGGAGTTTGAGACCAGCCTGGCCAATATGGTGAAACCCCATCTCTACTAGAAATACAAAAATTAGCCAGGCTTGGTGGTGGGCGCTTATGATCCCAGCTACTCGGGAGGCTGAGGCAGGAGAATCGCTTCAACCCGGGAGGCGGATAGGTTGCAGTGAGCAGAGATAGTGCCACTGCACTCCAGCCTGGGCAACAGAGCAAGACTCCGTTCCCCACCCACCAAAAAAACAAATTAAAAAAAACAAAAAAAAGGAAATCCTGTCACGTGCTAGAACATGGATAAGTCTTTGAGGATATCAAGCTAAGTGAAATAAGCGAGTCAAAAACAACAAATACTGCATGATTCTACTTTAAGGTAAAGGTATCTAAAGTAGTCTAACTCATGAAAAGGTTCTAGAAATCTGCACAACAACAAGCACAGGGTTAACACACTGTACACTTAAACTGGATTAAGATGGGACATTCTACGTTGCGTTTCTCACAACAATAAAAAAAATTAAGTGGCCTTAAATTATTATTCGCGTACTGTACTGACATCCTTCCCACTTTTCAACTCTCTGATACAGAAGACTTATTGAAGAAAATGTCCACTTTTTAAACACTCTCATGGGTCAAATAAGCAATTAGATAGTAATATACAAAAACACAGATCCTGAAACAATGGAAACAACCATTACTGATAACCCTAAGTTAACCAAAGAATCCAAAATCCTACTGGCAAAATAAAAAATTGTACCTCGATCAATCAAGCTAAACTTTTCATTCTTTTTTTTTTATTTTTTTTTATTTTTTGTAGAGAAGGGGTCTCACTATATTGACCAGGCTGATCTTGAACTCCTGGCCTCAAGCAATAGCTTCCCAAAATGTTGTGATTACAAGCATAAAGCAGCTTGAAGCCAGGCCTTCAGGCTGATCTTTTAAATGCCATTCCTATGCTAACTAAAGAGCAACTAACAGAAAAGAAAAATCTAGTCATCCAAACACCTCTTTGCCCTTTCCAGGCATAGTTAAGAATACTGTGATTTCGGCCGGGCGCAGTGGCTCACATCTGTAATCCCAGCACTTTGGTAGGCCGAGGCAGGCAGGTCACCTGACGTCAGGAGTTTGAGAGCAGCCTGGCCAACACGGTGAAACCCCGTCTCCACTAAAAGTACAAAAATTAGCCGAGCGTGGTGGCAGGCAACTGTAATCGCCATTTAATAGAGACGGTGAAATCCCGTCTCTACTAAAAATGCAAAAAAAATTAGCTGGGCGTGGTGGCACGTGCCTGTAACCCCAGCTACTAAGGAGGCTGAGGCAGGAGAATCGCTTGAACCTGAGAGGTGGAGGTTGCAGTGAGCCAAGATCACGCCACTGCACTCCAGCCTGGATGACAGAGCGAGACTCAAAAAAAAAAAAAAAAACGAATACTGCGATTTCCTAGCAATGCCCAGTGACTTACCCTAAATTCAGTGAAGCTTAAAAAGAAAGAAAAATAAGTCCAGTGATAAAAGAGGAACTGTTAAATTTAAGTTTTGTACTACAGAAAATTTAGGAACAACCTAAAAGTAATCAGTATGGAATTGGCTAAATAAGCTATAATATAACCATGCAAGAAAATCCTATACAGTTATTACAAAGAATAAGATTAGGCTGATCTACATATACTTGTATGAAGAGCGTTCCTCAATATATTACGTTTGAAAAAGAAGTTGAGTAGAAGTATATATGTACATTCTGATTGCATTCTTGTAAAAACAAAACAAAAAGACCCTGTATAAACAGATGCAGAGGAAAAGTCTGGAAGGTAAGTAGGGACTCGATATGCACGCAGGTGGGTAGATGCGTCGGGTGGAGACTTCCTTCACCTCACATTTCTGTATTATCTAAACACATTTAATTACATAATTCCACTTTTTTTTTAACTAAATATGTAAACTCTCTTCATACAAGTGTATGTGGATCAGCCCAGTCTTATTCTTTTTAATGACTGCACTGTACTCGCTTGGGGGGATGTATTACAGCTTTTGTAACTTTATGCAAAATGCTTACAGTATAATGTCAAATGGGGGAGAAGACGACGAATGATTGTATGTAACTACAACTACAACCACAAAAATTCCTACGTATGAATAAAGACAAGGGCTTAGAAAGATGAGATTACGGACTAATTTCATCTTTTAGGGTGAAAGAACTGACTTTTTGTATGTATGTGACATTACCATTATAAATGTAGTTAGGAAAAATATATTTCTCTAATTTTCCCATTAAGGGGTCTATAATGTCTGTATAGTAAAAAATAATTCCTTTTTTGAAAACCAGAAAACAGGTCCTTGGTTCTAGAATATCTGCTCTCTGTAACACAGTGACAGCAATCACCAAAAGATAGTGCTGCAGCTGTAGGGCTCATCATAAAGCTTCAAGAGACATTTTGGGCAAGAGAACAATGTAATTAATGTTTTCCAAGGGCCTTCAAAGAAAGTTGTTGCTTACATAAACAATTCTTGTTATTCAAATATATATATATATTCAACTTACAAAATGATGAACTAGAGCACACAATTTATTCACAAGGAACTATATCCTAAAAAAGTACAAGACATTAAGCTGAGGCTAGTTTCATGGAAGGAAATAAAGTGAACACCAATGAAGAGCTGATTGTTAGACTTTGTTGTTTATTTTCTTTTCTGAAAAGATCCAGACACTAGTCTGAGTGTCAAAAATACTTTTGTTGGGCAAAGTCAAGTCACTCGACTTCACTAGTTAAGAATCTAGGTCACGTTAGCACTCTGGGACATTCAAAAAACCTGAACACAGACAGGCAAGATCTTTTCTCATTCTCATTTCAGAGATCACAGGGAGGCCCAGGAACTAAAATTAGCTCTCACGTGAAAATCAGCAGTTTATTCATTTTCAGTCTTTGTTGTTTGTTTAACACATTCAGCTTCCCAAAATAGCCTATTGTCAACAGGCTCATGGCCGATTTCCCCAGAATGACTCCTGCTCTACCACTGATGAATACAGTATTACCATTACAGATGGATTTTGAACAGACACATTTCTGTAATCCATTGTTAAAATAACAATCATTCTAATCCTGTAGAAGCTGAACCTGATGCAACAAAAACAAAAGCCAAAAGCCTCCCAGTGTTACTCCAAGGTTGGTTTCTAGTCTTTAGATGGTCACTGAGGTGCTAAAAATGGTACAGTCTACCCAGCATGATAAAGCCCTTCCATGCTAGGTCTTTGGTTTAAAAACAAATCAGTTGGCCGGGCACGGTGGCTCACACCTGTAATGTCAGCACGTTGGGAGGCCAAGGCGGGTGAATCACGAGGTCAGGAGATGGAGACCATCCTGGCTAACACGGTGAAACCCCGTCTCTATTAAAAATACAAAAAATTAGCCAGGCGTGGTGGTGGGAGCCTGTAGTTCCAGCTACTCCGGAGGCTGAGGCAGGAGAATGGCATGAACCTGGGAGGCAGAGCTTGCAGTGAGCCGAGATCGCGCCACTGCACTCCAGCCTGGGCGACAGAGCGAGACACCGTCTCACAAAAAAAAAAAAAAAAAAAATCAGTTAAAATAAATAAAAATAAAAACAAATAGGGCTGGGCGCGGTGGCTCACGCCTGTAACCCCAGCACTTTAGGAGGCCAAGGCTGACGGATCACGAGGTCAGGAGATCGAGACCATCCTGGCTAACACGGTGAAACCCTGTCTCTACTAAAAATACAAAAAATTAGCCGGGCGTGGTGGCGGGTGCCTGTAGTCCCAGCTACTCGGGAGGCTGAGGTAGGAGAATGGCGTGAACCTGGGAGGCGGAGCTTGCAGTGAGCCGAGATTGCGCCACTGCACTCCAGCCTGGGCGACAGAGCAAGACTCCGTCTCAAAAATAAACAAATAAATAAATAAAAACAAATCGGTTAAGTGTCACATTCTATTCAAGCTGAACTGACAGTGCTGAACTAAATTGTAGGCTGTCCCTATGGAACTGATTATTGTGAAAAAACACAAACTAAAATCTAATTGCAATGGTCAGATATGATTATAACAAAGCAGTGACATGCAGGGGAGAAAAATAAGATATCAGAGTAGCAATCCTTGCCACCTTACTTATACCAGGCTTAACAACAATATGAGCACCTACCATGAACTCAGTGTCCATAGAATGCTAGTCATTCTACACAACTGCTAACCTTCATGAGGATGTCCTCTCATCCCTCCTTTTCAGGTGAGAAGATTCAGTCTCAGTAAAGCTAAGAAAATTACATAAAATCTCACAGCTAAGGCCGGCCACAGTGGCTCACACCTGTAATCCCAGCACTTTGGGAGGCTGAGGCAGGTGGATCAAGAGGTCAGGAGTTTGAGACCAGCCTGGCCAACATGGTGAAACCCCGTCTCTACTAAAAATAAAAAATAAAAAAATTAGCCAGGTGTGGTGGTTGGCACCTATAATCCCAGCAACTCAGGACGCTGAGGCAGGAGAATTGCTTGAACCCCAGGAGGCAGAGGTTGCAGTGAGCCAAGAACACGCCACTGCACTCCAGCCTGGGCAACAGAGCAAGACTCCGTCTCAAAAAAAAAAAAAAAAAAACAACAAAAAAAACACAGCTGGAACTGGCACCCTCAAGACTGATACTTAACAAGACTAACTTAGAAATGTCCCCTTTCCAAAACACCCCTGATTCCCTTAAGAGACCACTTAGGAGTTAAGCAAATAAGTGACACTCTGACCCACTGAAGGTCTAATGTTTTGTGTGACATTTCTTTTCCATCATTAGTTGAGTTTATATTTTGGTGATTCTTCTTTTTTTTTTTTTTTTTGAGACAATTTCAGCTCACTGCAAGCTCCGCCTCCCGGGTTCATGCCATTCTCCTGCCTCAGCCTCCTGAGTAGCTGGGATTAGAGGTGCGTGCCACCACGCCCGGCTAATTTTTTTGTATTTTTAGTAGAGATGGGGTTTCACTGTGTTAGCCAGGATAGTCTTGATCTCCTGACCTCATGATCCGCCCGCCTTGGCCTCCCAAAGTGCTGGAATTACAGGCAGCCACCACACCCAGCCCAGTAATTCTTCTTTAATACAACTGACAGAATTAAATACAAAGCCATTGTAGGCTGGGCGCTGTGGCTCACACCTGTAATCCCAGCACTTTGGGAGGCCAAAGCGGGCGGATCACTTGACGTCAGGAGTTCGAGACCAGCCTAACCAACATGGTAAAACCCCATCTCTACTAAAAATACAAAAATTAGCCAGCTGTAGTGGCACATGCCTATAATTCCAGCTACTCAGGAGACTGAGGCACATGAATTGCTTGAGCTCAGGTGGTGGAGGTTGCAGTGAGCCGAGATTGGGCCACTGCACTCCAGTCTGGGTGACGCTGTGAGACTCTGTCTCAAAAAAAAAAAAAAAACCATTGTAAAAATGAAGAACATTCTACCAGTGCAGACAATCATCAACAACTCCTACCTAAGCAGGAAGGGGGAAGATTTCTGGGAGCTGCCAGGTCATTTACACCAAGGTAGACTCTCCTATGTCTACCACAGGTTCCTGCGAACCATGCGAGGTTGCAACTATAAATAGGCTCACATTGCTCTCATCTCTAAAAGAAAAACAAGGAAGTTCTCCTCAAGACTGCCGTATCCTCTTCCCATCGCCTCACAGACACATTTCTTCTTCCCTGTAACAAGTCTTTTTAAAAAACTTTTTAAAGATTACTTTTAATTTCTTTTCTTTTTGTTTTTGACAGAGTCTCGCTCTGTTGCCCTGGCTGGAGTGCAGTGGTGCAATCTTGGCTCACCGTAACCTCTATCTCCTGGGTTCAAGTGATCCTCATGCCTCAGCCTCCCGAGTCGCTGGGAGGTTAATTTTTGTATTTTTAGTAGAGATGGGGTTTCTCCATGTTGGCCAGGCTGGTCTCAAACTCCTGGCCTCAAGTGATCCACCCACCTTGGCCTCCCAAAGTGCTGGGATTACAGGCGTGAGCCACTGTGCCCAGTCAAGATTTACTAATTTTTGTGGGTACATGGTAGGTATATATATTTAGGGGGTATATGGGATATACATTGTATTTTTAGCAAATCAAATGTTTGTGGCAATCTTACATCTAGCAAGTGTATTGGTGCCATTTTTCTAATAGCACGTGCCCACTTTATGTCTCTATGCCACATGTCAGTAACTCTCACAATATTTCAAACTTTGTTGTGGTGATTTATGATCAGTGGTCTTTGTTTTTTGTTTTTTTGTGTGTGTATGTTTGTTTTTGTTTTAGTGACTCAGGAGACTGAGGTAGGAGGATTGCTTGAGCCCAGGAATTTGAGGCTACAATGAGCTATAATCCTACCACTGCACTCCAGCCTGGGCAACAGGAACCCTCTCTCTAAAAAAGAAAAACAAGGCCGGGCGTGGTTGCTCACGCCTGTAATCCTAGCACTTTGGGAGGCTGAGGCAGGCGAATCATGAGGTCAGGAGATCGAGACCATCCTGGCCAACATGGTGAAACCCCATCTCTACTAAAATACAAAAAAACAGCCAGGCATGGTGGCGTGCACCTGTAGTCCCAGATACTCGAGAGGCTGAGGCAGAGGAATCGTTTGAACCCGGGAGCCGGAGGTTGCACATCTTATTATTTAAGAAACATTTTAAGGCCATAGATAGTGATTCCTCAGACAGATCTAGGCAAAGTAAATTGAAAACCTTCTGGAAAAGATTCAGCATTCTAGATGCCATTAAAAACATTCAGGATTGGCCAGGCATGGTGGCTCATGCCTGTAATCCCAATACTTTCAGAGGTCGAGAGAGGCAAATCACTTGAGCCCAGGAGTTCAAGACCAGATGGGGTGAAACAACAACGACAAAAAATTAGCTGGGTGTGGCAGCACACACCCAGTCCCAGCTACTTGGGAGGCTGAGGTAAGAGGATCACCTGAGCCCGGGGAGGTTGAGGCTACTGTGAGCCACAATTATACCACTGCACTCTAGCCTGGGCAACAGAGTGAGACCCTGTCTCAAAAACACAAAAAATAAAAGAACATTTGGGATTGATGAGAGGAGGTCATTATCAACATTAATCGAATATGAAAAAGATGATTTCGGCTGGGTGCGGTGGCTCACGCCTGTAATCCCAGCACTTTGAGAGGCCAAGGTGGGCGGATCACGAGGTCAGGAGTTCGAGACCAGCCTGGCTAACATGGTGAAACACTGTCTCTACTAAAAATACAAAAATTAGCCAGGTGTGGTTGTGCGCACCTGTAATCCCAGCTAGCCAGGAGGCTGAGGCAGAAGAATCCCTTGAACCCAGGAGGTGGAGGCTGCAGTGAGCTGAGATCCGGCCACTGCACCCCAGCCTGGGTGACAGAGAAAGACTCTGTCTCAAAAAAAAAAAAAAAAAGAAAAAGATTATTTCAACCCTCATAGGTGAGTCTGACGGGCTCAAGACTTCAGCATGGGAAGTAACTGCAGATGTGCTGAAAATAGCAAGAGAACTAGAATTAAAAGTGAAGACCGGCCGGGCGCGGTGGCTCACGCCTGTAATCCCAGCACTTTGGGAGGCCGAGGCAGGCGGGTCACTTGAGGTCAGCAGTTTGAGATCAGCCTGGCCAACATGGCAAAACCTTGTCTCTACTAAAAAATACAAAAATTATTTGGGCGTGGCAGTGCACACCTGTAATCCCAGCTACTCAGGAGGCTGAGGCAGGAGAATTGCTTGTACCTGGGAGCTGGAGGTTGCAGTGACCTGAGACCACACCACTGCACTCCAGCAGCCAGGGTGACAGAGCGACTCTGTCTCAAAACACACATGCACACACACACACACAAAACAAAACAAAAAAAAAGAAAAAACATCCTACACAAATAGTATTTTTATCTAATTGTGTTCAAGGCATTCATGGATCCTCTCAAAGTCCCTAAGTTCACTCTTCTCTGTATATTTCTGTCTACTTAGTTAGAAATATTTAAAAAAAAGTTCCAAATTACGTCAAACAGTGTTTTTTAGAGATGGGTCTCACCTTGTCGCTCAGGCTGGAGTGCAGTGGTGTAATCATAAGTTCACTGCAGCCTTGAACTCCTGGGATCAAATGATCCCCCCACCTCAGCCTCCCAAGTAGCTGGGATTACAGACGTGCACCACTATACCCTGTCAAACATGTTTTTAAAAATTTCTATACTTTTCAAAATGCTAAGTCTTCATCTTCACTGAAAGTTATTTATCCACATAATTTTCCATTTTGATGCTTTTTGCCTTCTTTTCTACTTTATTTGATTTAGGGGGAACTCTCATTTACCTACTTATTTTTGCGCATCCCTTTACTTTCATTTCTCTGTAATTCCGTTTTAGGTATGTGCTATGATCTGAATGTGTCCCCCAGAATTCCTTTGTTGGAAACCTAATCCCCAATGCCAACAGTGTTAGGAGGTGGGACCTAGTGGGAGAGGTTTAGGTCACGAGGGCTTTGCCCTTATGAATGGATTAATGCTGCTGTTTAAAAAAAAGCTTGCAGAAGTGGGTTTGCCCCCTTCCACCTTCCACCCTGTGAGGATGCAGCAAAAGGGCCCTTAACCAGATGCCAGGGCCTTGCTCTTGGACTTCCCAGCCCCCAGACTATGAGAAATAAATTTCTGTTCTTCATAAATTACCAGTCTCATGCCACTTATGTATGGCATATCGTTTTGTTGTTGTTGTTTTTCTTTTTTATTTTCTTGAGGCAGACTCTTGCTCTGTTGCCCAGGTTGCACTGCAGTGGCACAATCTCGGCTCACTGCAACCTCCACCTCCTGGGTTCAAGCGATTCTCCTGCCTCAGCCTCCCGAGTAGCTGGGATCACAAGTGCGCACCATCACGCCTGGCTTATTTTTGTATTTTTAGTAGAGACGGGGTTTCACCATGTTGGCCAGACTGGTCTCGAACTCCTGACCTCAGGTGATCCGCCCACCTTGGCCTCCCAAAGTGCTGGGTTTACAGGCGTGCGCCACTGCACCCGGCCTTTTTTTTTTTTTTTTTTTTTTTTTGAGATAGGATCTCACTCTGTCGCCCAGGCTGGAGTGTAGTGGCACAATCTCAGCTCACTGCAACCTCTACCTCTCAAGCTCAAGCGATTCTCGTGCCTCAGCCTTCTGAGTAGCTGAGATTACAGGCATATGCCACCACGCCCGGCTCATTTTTGTACTTTTAGCAGAGAAGGGGTCTCTCCATGTTGCCCAGGATGATCTCAAACTTCTGAGCTCAAGCCATTCGCTGGCCTCTCAAAGTGCTGGGAATATAGGCATGAGCCACTATGCCCGGCCTGGCATATCATTTAATAGAGAAATTATTCTCATGCAGTCAACAAATATTAACTCAATGTTTGTGACTTGCCAGGTACCTTTAGATATGTTGTAAAAACACATCTGTTAGGTCTGCTTCAGACTGACAGGTTTTTTTTGGAAACAAGGTCTTGCTCTGTTGCCTAGGCTGGAGTGCAGTGGCGCGATCATGGTTCACTGCAGCCTTGACCCCCTGGGCTCAAGCAGTCCTCCTGCCTCAGCCTCTGAAAGTGCTGTGACTGCAGGTATGAGGCACTGCGCTTGGCCTTTTAAAAAATATACCTCTTAGGCCCGGCGCGGTGGCTCACGCCTGTAATCCCAGCACTTTGGGAGGCTGAGGTGGGCAGATCACGAGGTCAGGAGATCGAGACCATCGTGGCTAACACGGTGAAACCCCATCTCTACTAAAAATACAAAAAATTAGCAGGGCGTGGTGGCGGGCACCTGTAGTCCCAGCTACTCAGGAGGCTGAGGCAGGAGAATGGCGTGAACCCGGGAGGCAGAGCTTGCAGTGAGCCGAGATCGCGCCACTGCACTCCAGCCTGGGCGACAGAGTAAGACTCCATCTCAAAAAAAAAAGAGATCGAGACCATCCTGCCCATCATAGTGAAACCCCGTCTCTACTAAAAATACAAAAATTAGTTGGGCATGGTGGCATGTGCCTGTAGTCCCAGCTACTCAGGAGGTTGAGGCAGGAGAATCTCTTGAACCCGGGAGGCAGAGCTTGCGGTGAGCCGAGACAGCGCCACTGCACTCCAGCCTGGTGACAGAGCAAGACTCTGTCTCCAAACAATGCAAAACAAAACAAAAATCTTAAAAATCCTAACCATCAGCTGGGCGCGGTGGCTCACGCCTGTAATCCCAGTACTTTGGGAGGTTGAGGTGGGCAGATCACTTGAAGTCAGGAGTTCTGAGACCAGCCTGGCCAACATGTTGAAACTCCGTCTTTACTAAAAATACAAAAATTAGATGGCCGTGGTGGTGCGAGCCTGTAATCCCAGCTACTCAGGAGGCTGAGACAGGAGAATCGTTTGAACCCAGGAGGCGGAGGTTGCAGTGAACCAAGATGACATTACTGCACTCCAGCCTGGGCAACAGAGCAAGACTGTGTCTCAGAAAATAATATAAAACTTTAGTGGATGAGGATGGGGATGGGCAAGGCACAAGAATCCTCCATACCACGCCCTTAAGAAAAATTTCAAACTCCTCAGTGGGCCTTATAAAGCACCACAAAGTATAACCATCCCCAGCCCACCTCCTCCTGTCTCTTGTCCACTGCACCCCAGCCACGCTTCACTTCTTCAGTTCCCCTCTGCCCAGTATTCTTTGCACATGCTGCTGCCTCTGCCTGGAATACTCTTCTTTCTACCTGGCTCACTCCACTCATTCCTTAAAACACAACCAAGAGACCATTTCGGTTTCAAATCATTCTCTAAATCCCAAAGTCAGGGTACGGTCTCCTTTTCATGTGATCCCACTGCACATCCCCCGGATTCTCCCATACTAAAAGGTTAACGGCTTATGTATTTGTCCATTTTCCCCACTAGTGTATAAACTAGCGTGTGACTGTGGCAGTGACATCTTTCTTGTTTTTTAAGGCTTTCCTAGAACTGAGCACAATGTGGCTAATCAATAGGTTTTTGTTAAATAGCTGATTAAGTACAATAGTAAGTATAGAGAGGAAACAAACAATGACAAAACTATATCTTTTTTTTTTTTTTTTTTTTAATTACAGGATTTCGCTATGTTGCCCAGGCTGGATTCAGACTCCTGGACTCAAGATCCTCTCACCTCAGCCTCTCATGTAGCTGGGACTACAGATGCACAGTGTTGCACCCCACTAAAATGGTATCTTTCCTAAAGCTACTAGGATCAACATCCACGTATATCACTATGAAACAATGACTTACAAACAATGAGAGAGATGTTATAAACAGAGAAATCCCAATTCAATCTCTTTAGGGTAAGTGACTCCAAAGTAAGGTGCCAAAGGTGATTATGGTATCCAAAGAAAATACCTGAAGTCCTATTTAAATATATTTTTAATTTCTATTTTGAAATATGTTTTCAAATGTACTTAATATATTAACACAGTAAGTAGTACAAGCATTCACATATAGGCTGTGCTCAATTTATTCTATTTTTTTGAGATAGAGTCTCATTCTGTTGCCCAGGCTGAAGTGCAGTGGCATGATCTCGGTTCACTAAAACCTCCGCCTCCCCAGTTCAAGCAATTCTCCCTCCTCAGTCTCCTGAGTAGCTGTGACTATAGTGTGCATCACCACACCCAGCTAATTTTTTGTATTTTTAATAGAGACAGGGTTTTGCTTTGTTGGCCAGGCTGGTCTTGAACTCCTAACTTCAGGTGATCTGCCCACCTCGGCCTCCCAAAGTGATCTTAACCCTTATACTTGGGTGTGGGTGGAGAGTTTCACAGATCCCTTTGAGAATGTGATGACAGCTAAGGATTATCTGTCAGAAAAATGAACATAAATATTTGTTTGAACTCCTGTATGATTTTAAGGGTTATCTTGGCTTCCAGGTTAAGTCTTGCCCCAGGGCCTCCATTTCTAAAGCTATAAGAAGAGGGCTTAGAGTAAAGAAGAGGTGAAGAAAATGCCTCAAGCCCTATGATCCTAATCTTCTTTTTTTCTTTTTTCTTTTTTTTTTGAGATGGAGTCTCAGTCTGTCACCCAGGTTGGAGTGCAGTGGCACAATCTCGGCTCACTGCAACCTCCACCTCTCAGGTTCAAGTGATTCTCCTGCCTCACTCAGCCTCCGGAGTAGCTGGGATTACAGGCTTGCGCCACCACACCCAGCTCATTTTTGTATTTTTAGTAGAGATGAGGTTTTCACCCTGTTGGTCAGGCTGGTCTCAAACTCCTGACCTCAAGTGATCCGCCCACCTTGGCCTCCCAAAGTGCTGGGATTCCAGGCGTGAGCCACCGCGCCCGGCCACTATTATTCTTTCCCTTCCTTTTTCTCCTCTAATCCTGCTCCTCTTCCTTCCCATAGCTGAATCACCACGCCTCTCTCCAGGCAGGCTGGGAATTTCCAATTCCCTCTGTAACTCGCAGAGTTGAGGAATGCAGTTAGAGATAGTTCTTTCTCAGAGGTATAAAAGACACATCAGTCATTCCCATATAGTTATCATAATTTTGCCATTTCCTGAAACACTTATACTATTATTTTCTTAATTTAAAAAAATCAAGGCCGGGCACATGGCTCACACCTGTAATCCCAGCACTTTGGGAAGCCAAGGCGGGCGGATCACCTGAGGCCAGGAGTTCAAGACCAGTCTGGCCAACATGGTGAAACTCTGTCCCTACTAAAAATACAAAAATTAGCCAGGCGTGGTGGTAGAGGCCTGTAGTCCCAGCTACTCAGGAGGCTGAGACAGGAGAATTGCTTGAACTCAGGAGGCAGAGGTTGCAGTGAGGCGAGACTGCACCACTGTACTCCACCCTGGGCAACAGAGACTCCGTCTCAAAAAAATAAAATAAAGTAAAAATAAAAAATCAACTTTCTGGCTTGGTGTGGTGGCTGTAATCTCAGAACCTTGGGAGGCAAAGGAGGGAGGACCACTTGAATCTAGGCGTTTGAGACCAGCCTGGGCAATATGACAAGACCTTGTCTCTACAAAAATAAAAATAAAAATAGCTAAGCATGGTAGGGCACACTTGGCTATTTTTATCTGGGGAGGCTGGGGCAGGAAGACAGCTTGAGCCCAGGAGTTCAATGCTATCACAAGCTATGACTGTGCCACTGCACTCCAGCTTGGGCAACAGAGCAAGATCCTATCTCTAAAAACAAAATAAATAAATAAAAATAAATCAACTTCTTAAATTTAGTAACATCTTAAATAATAATATCTGTGAAATCAGTCCTGATGTCCTGGTTATTATTTTCCTGCCTCACATCAAAATAAACACACACTTATTAAAATATCTTTAGGCCAGGCACAGTGGCTCACACCTGTAATCCCAGCACTTTGGGAGGCCAAGGTGGGCGGATCACGAGGTCAGGAGTTCCAGACCAGTCTGACCAACATGGTGAAACCCCGTCTCTACTAAAAATACAGACGTTGGCTGAGTGTGGTGGCGGGCGCCTGTAATCCCAGCTACTCAGGAGGCTGAGGCAGGAGAATCACTTGAACCTGGGAGGCAGAGGTTGCAGTGAGCCGAGATCATGCCACTGTACTCTAGCCTGGGCAACAGAGCGAGACTTTGTCTCAAAAAAAAAAAAAAAAGTGTTTAGATCCTCACCAGTCACTAAGTTTTAGATCACAAAGAGCACAATCGTAAATCTCTGAAGTTACTCTGGGATTTCCGTAGGGTAAGCAACAATTTGGACATCAAGAGAATTTTTTTTTAAGCCAGAAGGAAACTTAAAAGCATCTGGTCCATTCCTCTAATGTTATACATTAAAAAGCTGAGACCAAGAGAGGTTAAGTGATTTGTCCAAGGTCGCATGGGACGTTTAATCAAATGTCTAAGATTAACACTCAGGTGGGCTTTCTATTACATCATATCCATTTGAATCACACAAGAATAACAGTGATTTTTCATCCGTTACCTACCTCACTCTTCCATTCAGATTTATCTGAACATGCTGCTTAAAATCTGGATATTTGGATGCCAGATATGCAAAGTCAGGAGGTTTGTCCTTGTATCTATTTCTTGCATGCATTGATTTACTCAGAGCCATCTTAAGGAGAGAAAGAGAGAAAGAAAATCAGCATATTTATTAAAAACCATTAATGGGGGCCGGGTGCGGTGCCTCATGCCTCTAATCCCAGTACTTTGGGAGGCCAAGGTAAGTAGATCACCTGATTCAGGAGTTCAAGACCATCCCATCCTGGCCAACATGATGGGATGAAAGCCCGTCTCTACTAAAAATACAAAAAGTAGCCAAGTAGCCGAGCATGGTGGCGGGAGCCTGTAATCCCAGCTACTTGGGAGGCTGAGGCAGGAGAATTGCTTGAACCCAGGAGGTGGAGGGTGCAGTGAGCCGAGATCACGCCATTGCACTCCAGCCTGGGCAACAAGAGCGAAACTCCGTCTCAAAAAAAAAAAAATCAGTGGGGAAAGCTGTGGATGCCAAGTTAATAGTTACAGCCAACATGTCTTTGCCGATCAAGTGAGAAAGTAGAAATCACATTTTTAAAATGCATACAACAAATAAGCACATGAAGAGATGGTGAACATCATTAGTCATCAGGGAAATACAAATCAAAACCACGTGAGACACCACTTCATACCCACTAGGATGGCTGCTGTCAACAAAAAAACAAAAATAAAAAATTAAAAAAACAGAAACAACGAGTGTTCTGCAAGGATGTGAAGAAATTGGAGTTCTCATGCATTGCTGTTGGGAATGTGAAATGGCACAGCTGCTGTCGAAAAACGCTTGGCGGTTCTTTAAAAAGCTAAACATAGAATTACTATCTGATTCAGCAATTCCACTCCTAGGTATATTCCCAAAAGAACTGAAAGGAGGAACTGAAACAGATATTTGTACAGCAGTGTTCATAGTAGTATCATTCCCAAGAGTGAAAAGGTGGGAAACAATCTGAGTGTCCATCAGCAGATGAATGTGGACCAACAAAATACAGTATATCCATACACTAAATATGGATCAACAAAATACAGTATATCCATACCCTAAATATGGATCAACAAAATACAGTATATCCATACACTAAATATGAAAATACGGTATATCCATATAATAAATATGGGTCAACAAAATACGGTATATCCATACCCTAAATATGGATCAACAAAATACGGTATATCCATACACTAAATATGGGTCAACAAAATACAGTATATCCATACAATAAATATGGGTCAACAAAATACGGTATATCCATACACTAAATATGGGTCAACAAAATACAGTATATCCATAAAATAAATATGGGTCAATGAAATACAGTATATCCATACACTAAATATGGATCAACAAAATACAGTAATCCATACAATAAATATAGATTAACAAAACATGGTATATCCATACAATAAATATGGATCAACAAAAGATGGTATATCCATACAATAAATATGGATCAACAAAATATGGTATATCCATACAATAAATATGGATAAACAAAATACAGTATATCCATACAATAAATATGGATAAACAAAACATGGTATATCCATACAGTAAATATGGATCAACAAAATACGGTATATCCACACACTAAATATGGATCAACAAAATACGGTATATCCACACACTAAATATGGATCAACAAAATACGGTATATCCATACAATAAATATGGATCAACAAAATACGATATACCCATACAATACATATGATCAACAAAATATGGTATATCCATACAATAAATATGGATCAAGAAAATACGGTATATACATACAATAAATATTATGCAGCCCTAAGAAGAAATGAAATTCTGATACATGCTACAACATGGAAGAACCCTGAAAACACCATGCTAAGGGAAATAAACCACACACAAAAGGACAAATATTGTATGCTTTCACTTATATGAGGCACCCAGTAGAGGTAAATTTATTACACAGATGGAGAGTGGAATAGAGGTGATGAGGAGCTGGGGAGGGAAGAATGAGGAGTTACTGTTTAATAGGTACAGAGTTTCACTTTGGAATGATGACAAAGTTCTGGAGATAGAGGTGATGGTTGCACAAGAGAATGAACACATTTAATGTCACTGAATGGTACACTTAAAAATGGCTAAAATGGTAAATTTTATGTTATGTATATTTTTCCATGATTTTAAAAATGCAGACAACGTAAGAGTGAGTCTTTTTTTTTAAATCAAGGGAAGAAAGCTGAAAAGTATTCCTTTAAGAGCATCAAAGTGACAGAACACAGTCTGTATATATGATCTATAACCAAGGATATTAGTTAGAGGTTAGTTGTGTTTTGTTTTGTCTTGTTTTGTTTGTTCTGAGACAGTGTCTCACTCTGTCATCCAGGATGGAGTGCAGTAGCACAATCATACCTCACTGCAGCCTCAATCTCCCATGCTCAAACAGTCCTTCCACCTCAGCCTCCCGAGTAGCTGGGACTATAGGTATGTGCCACCATGCCACCACGCCTGGCTAATTTATTTTTAATTTTATTTTTTGTAGAGACAGGGTCTCCCTTTGTTGCCCAGATTGGTTTCCGACTCCTGAGCTCAAGTGATCCTCCTGCCTCAGCCTCCCAAAGTGCTACGACTACAGACATGAACCATCACACCCAGCTTGGGGGTTAGTTTTTACAGTATCCTTACAAGGACTGAATATTTGGTAGTGTACCATAACATCACCAAACTTTGAAAAAATATCTTTGATTCCAACTTAAAGTTTCAATCTTGTCATTCCTAGGTAGCTAAAACCAAATGAAAACGAACATAATTTTGTCTTCTTCCAGATTACAACAAGAAATAAAAGCAAATGTACTTATATCAAGACATAAACACTGAAAGAGAAACTATTATAATGGTTTAGTAAATCTCCAGGTAGTTGGTAATTTAAAAAATATTTTACTATTATATATATATATATCTCTCTCTGGGTGGCAAGTGACTTTTATTTTCTTAATATCTTTATTTTTTACCTTTTAAATAATGATTATTCTTCTAAACAATATTATGTTAGCCAAAAATCTAGGAGTCAGTTGATAGTTTCTCATATCCAAGAAATCACCACTTCTGTAGGTTTTACCTGCTAAATACCTCTTAAATCCACTCTTTTTCCCTGTCCCCAACAATGTCAAGCCCAGAGGCATTTTTTTTTTTTTTTTTTTTTTTTTTTTTTTTTTTTAGATACATGGTTTCGTTATGTTGGCCAGGTTGGTATTGAACTCCTGGCCTCAAGCAATCCTGCCACCTCAGCCTCCCAAAGTGCTAGGATTATAGTTGTAAGCCACCACGCCCGGCCAGAACAGCCTTTTTATTTACTTACTTTTATTTCCTTAGAGACTACATTGCCCAGGCCAGACTTGAACTCCTGAGCTTAAGCAATCCTCCCACCTCGGGCTCCCAAATGGCTGAGACTACAGGTGTGCACCACCGCACCTGGTTTACAGTAGCCTCTTAATTGGTCTCCCTGCATCCACTCTTGTTCTCACCATCCCTCCTTCCACCTCGTAGTGATCATTTCCAAACACAAATCTCAGTATGTCCTTCTCCTATGTCCACCTGCTCAAAACCTTACTCTTAGGATAAAATAAAAAAACATCACTTCAGCCTACATGCAAGGCACTACATGACCTGGCCTTGCCTATCTTTTCACCATCAGTTTAAGTCACATGCCCTTGCTCTTTGTGTCCTTCTACCCTGACCACAGGACCTTTATGCAGGCTATTCTTTTTTTTTTGAGACAGAGTCTCCCTCTGTCACCAGGCTGGAGTGCAGTGGCGCAATCTTGGCTCACTGCAACGTCTGCCTCCCGGGTTCAAGCGATTCTCCTGCCTCAGCCTCCTATGCAGGTTATTCTTTTTATCTGTAACGTTTTTTCCTCCCTCTCTTCAGTCGGCAAATTCTTAGTCATTCTTGGGCTCACAGTTCAAGCACCTCTTCTTCAGGAAGATCTTTCCTTCCCTAATCTCCCCAGTTAAGACAAATCCTCTCCCTCTCCCTCCCCCTCCCCCTCCCTCTCCCTCTCCCCACGGTCTCCCTCTCCCTCTCCCTCTCCCCCTCTTGCCACGGTCTCCCTCTGATGCCGAGCCGAAGCTGAACTGTGCTGCTGCCATCTCGGCTCACTGCAACCTCCCTGCCTGATTCTCCTGCCTCAGCCTGCCGAGTGCCTGCGATTGCAGGCGCACGCCGCCACGCCTGACTGGTTTTCGTATTTTTTTGGTGGAGACGGGGTTTCGCTGTGTTGGCCGGGCTGGTCTCCAGCTCCTAACCGCGAGTGATCCGCCAGCCTCGGCCTCCCAAGGTGCCGGGATGGCAGACGGAGTTGCGTTCACTCAGTGCTCAATGGTGCCCAGGCTGGAGTGCAGTGGCGTAATCGCGGCTCGCTACAACCTCCACCTCCCAGCTGCCTGCCTTGGCCCCGCAAAGTGCCGAGATTGCAGCCTCTGCCCAGCCGCCACCCCGTCTGGGAAGTGAGGAGCGTCTCTGCCTGGCCGCCCATCATCTGGGATGTGAGGAGCCTCTCTGCCTGGCTGCCCAGTCTGGAAAGTGAGGAGCGTCTCTGCCCGGCCGCCATCCCATCTAGGAAGTGAGGAGCGTCTCTGCCCGGCCGCCCATCATCTGAGATGTGGGGAGCGCCTCTGCCCTGCCGCCCCGTCTGGGATGTGAGGAGCATCTCTGCCCGGCCGCCCCGTCTGAGAAGTGAGGAGACCCTCTGCCTGGCAACCGCCCCGTCGGAGAAGTGAGGAGCCCCTCCGCCCGGCAGCCACCCCGTCTGGGAAGTGAGGATCGTCTCCACCCGGCAGCCACCCCGTCCGGGAGGGAGGTGGGGGTCAGCCCCCCGCCTGGCCAGCCGCCCCGTCCAGGAGGTGAGGGGCACCTCTGCCCGGCCGCCCCTACTGCGAAGTGAGGAGCCCCTCTGCCCGGCCAGCCGCCCCGTCCGGGAAGGAGGTGAGGGGGTCAGCCCCCCGCCCGGCCAGCCGCCCCGACCGGGAGGTGAGGGGCGCCTCTGCCCGGCCGCCTCTACTGGGAAGAGAGGAGCCCCTCTGCCCGGCCAGCCACCCCATCCAGGAGGGAGGTGGGGGGGTCAGCCCCCCACCCAGCCAGCCACCCCGTCCGGGAGGGAGGTGGGGGGGTCAGCCCCCAGCCCGGCCAGCCGCCCCATCCGGGAGGTGAGGGGTGCCTCTGCCCGGCCGCCCCTACTGGGAAGTGAGGAGCCCCTCTGCCCGGACAGCCGCCCTGTCCGGGAGGGAGGTGGGGGGGTCAGCCCCCCGCCCGGCCAGCCGCCCCATCCGGGAGGTGAGGGGCGCCTCTGCCCGGCCGCCCCTACTGGGAAGTGAGGAGCCCCTCTGCCCGGCCACCACCCCGTCTGGGTGGTGTACCCAACAGCTCATTGAGAATGGGCCATGATGACAATGGCGGTTTTGTGGAATAGAAAAGGGGGAAAGGTGGGGAAAAGATTGAGAAATCGGATGGTTGCCGTGGCTGTGTAGAAAGAGGTAGACATGGGAGACTTTTCATTTTGTTCTGTACTAAGAAAAATTCTTCTGCCTTGGGATCCTGTTGATCTGTGACCTTACCCCCAACCCTGTGCTCTCTGAAATATGTGCTGTGTCCACTCAGGGTTGAATGGATGAAGGGTGGTGCAAGATATGCTTTGTTAAACAGATGCTTGAAGGCAGCATGCTCCTTAAGAGTCATCACCACTCCCTAATCTCAAGTACCCAGGGACACAAACACTGCGGAAGGCCGCAGGGTTCTCTGCCTAGGAAAACCAGAGACCTTTGTTCACTTGTTTATCTGCTGACCTTCCCTCCACTATTGTCCTGTGACCCTGCCAAATCCCCCTCTGCGAGAAACACCCAAGAATGATCAATAAAAAAAAAAAAAAAGACAAATCCTCTATTATAACATCTCCTAGCAATAAATATTTTTCTTTTGCAATCTTTGTTAGAGACATAATTTTACATAGTCATAAATCTGTCAATGCTATTTCAGATGGTTTTTTGACAGCTTCCTACACTGGAAATTAAACCAATTTCAGAAAAGAACTGTTGTCTTCATTCCAGACTTTTCCAAATCACATATCCAACTGCCTACCATATTTCTCACTTGAAGGGCTCAAAAATACATGTACAATATGTGCAAAATTAAATCACTTCTACCCACCCCAAACTGGTCCTTCTCATCTTCCCTATCTCACCAAATGCACTGCTATCTTTCTTGTGATAAACACATCAAAAATCTTCAACACCTTCTCCATGCTGCCTCCCCCATTCACAACACACCAGGTCCTGAATACTCCATCTCCCAATTATTTCTTGACCTTATCCCACTTTTCACCCTTCACAACACCACCTCTCTGGCCCAGGTCATTATCATGTCTTTCTTGGGTTGCTCTAAGAGTCTCAAACTGATCTCTTCATAAACACTCTTGCCCTCTACCAGCCACTTTTCACTCAGCAGACAAGCCACTCCCCCCATGCAAATGTGAACATTTCCTTATTAAATCCCTTCAGTGGCATCCCAAAGCTATTAAGCTAAAAAAGTCTAAAATCATTAAAAAGGCAGGCATAATCCAGGCCTTATCTGTCCCTCCAACTTCATTTGTTGCCACTTTCCCCTTCCAGACATACTGGTCTTCTTCCATTTTCTCTGCTGCATGGTAGTCTGTCTCACCATCTCCTATTCTTACTGCCTGTAAGACTCTCCTCAACCTCCCACCATCGCCTTTCACCTCTGAAGGTCCACTAGCTACTCAAATCACACCCTAGGCATCATTTACTCAGGCAGCCTTTCTCTGACCCCACAATCCAATCAGATGCCCATCTACACGCTTTCAAAGCACCCTGTGCTGCTTCTCCCTCAGAGATCTTCAGTTTACTACTGGGTGTGTAATTAATTTGCATATGTCACACATAGACCTGCAACCATATCCATCCTAGTCTTTACTATACCCCCAGCAACCTGTATACAATAAATATTTTTTGAGTAAACAATTCAGAATTTGAGGGGATTAGTAGTCACCTGAAAGTTTTTCAGCATACTGTTACTACATTTTGCCCCTCACACTATGACTAAAAATGACTATATACCTGTCTTAATTTCCTAGCATTGACATACCCTTTACTGACCATCAGGAAAGAGGGGAGCATAAAACTAGGATGGCCCCCAGTTCTCAAGAAAACATCAACTGGGCAAGGTGGTGCATGCCTGTGTTCCTAGCTACTAGGGATGCCAAGGATAGCTTGAGCCCAGGAGTTCCAGTCCAGCCTGGGCCACACAGTGAGACCCTGTCTCAAAATAAACAAATACAAATAATAGACTTTATTAAAAAGAAAATATCCAAAATTAAAGTGTTGGCCGGGCACAGTCGCTCACGACTATAATCCCAACACTTTCGGAGGCCAAGACTGGAGGATCACCTGAGGTCAGGAGTTTGTGAGACCAGCCTGGCCAACATGGAGACCATCCTGGCCAACATAGTGAAACCCTATCTCTACTAAAAATACAAAAATTAGCTGGGTGTGGTGGCATGTGCCTGAAGTCCCAGCTACTTGGGAGGCTGAGGCAGGAGAATCACTTGAATTCAGGAGGCCGAAGTTGCAGTGAGCCAAGATCACGCCACTGCACTCCAGCCTGGTGACAGAGCAACACTCCGTCTCAAAAAAAAAAAAAAAATTAGCTGGGCGTGGTGGTGGGTGCCTGTAATCCCAGCTACTCGGGAGGCTGAGGCAGGAGAATCACTTGAACCCAGGAGGTGGAGGTTGCAGTGAGCCAAGATCGTGCTACTGCACTCCAGCCTTGGTGACAGTGAAACTGTCTCAAAAAAAAAAAAGAAAAAGAAAATGTTCTTTCTTGTGATTCTGGCAAGCAACAAAAAAAAGTAAACTAAGAGTAATTTCTTTAAACTGATGGAAAATATTTTCCCAATTTATGGGGGACATGTGACATTTATGCGGTATTTGTTCCACGCATAGAATGTGTGCTGATCAAGTCAGAGTATATGGGGTATTCACCACTTTGAGTATTTTTTATATCTATGTATTGGTAACATTTCAAGCCCTCTCCTAGCTATTTTGAAATATACATTGTTGCTGACTTTAGTCACCATATCCTAACAGTGACTTCAAGAGACAGTGGCATGTTAGGGCTCTGCCACACATTAAGGAAAATTCTACAGACTACATAGCTGACATCAGTGCACACACAACATAATACTCTGAATATATGTGAAACAAATTAAATTACAGACATGGCAGATTCGATTCATTTCCTACATTATTCAACTTTTCTGGTCAGAACAGATACAGAATGAGTAAATACAACCACTTCTTTTCTAACTAACCTCCCAATATAGGCAATGAGTTCTTAGCTAAATATAACCTATTCTTCAGAGTTTAACTGGGCATCAATTCTTTTTTTTTTCTTCTTGTTGAGACAAGGTCTTCCATTCTGTTGCCCAGAGTGCAATGATGGAATCATAGCTCCCTGCAGCCTCCAACTCCTGAGATCAAGCAATCCTCCCGCCTGAGCCTCCCAAGCAGCTGGGACTACAGGTACAGAGCACTGCACCTGGTTAATTTACTTCATTTTTTGTAGAAAGGGAGTCTGGCTTTGCTACCCAGGCTCTAGCTTCAATTTTCTACACAGAATTTACCCATCTGGCATTCCATATATTTTACTTACTTTAAAAAATCTCCCGTCAGTAAGTTTCAAGAGGGTAAATATTTTGTCTGTCTTGTTCACCGCATATCCCAACGCCTAAAATAGGGCCTAAGAGAGTAGGCACTCAAGTATTTGTTGATTGAAACCACGATAGAACTCTTCCCTGTCTGGACCACCGACACAAAGCACCCTCACTGAGTTTCAAAAAAAGCTCAGCCCATGGACTGGAACTTTTCTTCCCGGTTACTTGAGTCAGTCCAGAAAGCCACAGTTAATAGTAGAACCCTGAGAATGAGGCTTTCCCTTTTTTTTTTTTTCTTTCTCATCTCCATGCTTCTGTTTCCTTGGTTCCTCTTGACCATTAACCCTCTTCAACTACCACTCTCTTGATACACAGCCTGTAAAACAGTCTAAATTCCAATTTCAGAACTTCAAATTCTTTCTGCACAGATCCCTCCCACTTCCACACCAATCTACATCTTCTCTCTTCGCCTTCTCTCATAAATCCGACGTTTCCCACTAGTCCTGCCACTGCCGTTCTTTCCATGCCCTCATTTTATCAGCTCAGTTTGTCTTCCCGCCTCAGTTTTGGATCTCTCTAAACCTCCTAAACACCGGGGAGTCTTTCCTACTTCAGTCCTAGTCTCTATTCTATTCGCCAACTCCTCCCACTCATCCACTCTCAACACCCCCGCGTGCGCACACACAGCCACATCAGGTCTCCCCTCCTAGACCCCGAAGTCGGCACCTCACTAGCCCAAAACTCAAGAATGAGGAACCCGTGTGATCCACGGGTTAAGTGACCCATGATAGTAAATCTGCGTGAGAGATATAAGTGACCCACCTCTGAGGCCGAGGTTCCTGCCAGACGTCGTGTCTGGCGTGGGCCTGTACAACCCTAGAATCTTAAAGCAGCCGCATAGCGAAGCTCCTAGAAACGCAGATGATACGCTCCCAGCGCGCCGCCATCTTGTGAAGCCATCTAGCCTCGTGATTGGACACATCCCTCTCGCGCGACCTGTGGCTGATCTTGAAGAAAGAAGAAACCCTCGCGACACCTGGGGTTTGCTGCTCCTAACAGAAGGCGCGGGGGCGTGGTGACGAGCGGAGTCCTTTGAGGTATGGCAGGAGGAGGACATGCGTTCGAATTCGCGAGAAAACTTATTTAAAAGAAAAAGAAACAAGTTTTCCGGGCCCTGCTGCAGACTTACCTCTCACACTCACTGGGATTGGGCAGGTTATGAAGATGAGGGTACGAGACTTGGGTGTGATGGCGTGCAGTGAGCCCTTTTTGTGCAACAGGTGTGTCCTCAGCCGATGTCTCACTCACTGAATTGTAAGAGATATAAGCCTGTGGGTTGGGGAAGAGTACTCTCGTTTACAGCGAAAGAACTGAGGATCCGGCCGGACGCGGCGGCTCACGCTTGTAATCCCAGCACTTTGGGAGGCTGAGGCGGGCAGATCACCTGAGGTCAGGAGTTCAAGACCAGCCTGGACAACATGGTGAAACCCCGTCTCTACTAAAAATACAAAAATTAGCCGGGCGTGGTGGCGGGCGCCTGTAATCCCAGCTACTCGGGAGGCTGAGGCAGGAGAATCGCTTGAATCCGGGAAGCGGAGGTTGCAGTGAGCCAAGATCGCACCACTGCACTCCAGCCTGAGCGAAAGAGCAAGACTCTGTCTCAAAAAAAAAAAAAAAAGGGGGGGCCTGCCTACGTCCTCGTCGTTAATGTGAACGCTTCTGGCAAACTATTACCATAAAATTGGGAGATAGTAAGGATTAAGGAATGGAGACTTATACACAAGTGAGTACCAGTAGTCACCCAAGGAAAGCTGAGGAGGTGTTTTCATAATCTGTTGTGTAACAAACCGCCCCAAAACGTAAGACTTAAAACAACCACCATTTTACTTGCTCACAGTTCTGCAATCTGGGCTGGGATTAGCCCACCCGTTCTGCTGGTCTTGCCAGTGGTCATAGCAACAAGTGGGGGCTGGTTCCGCTGAAAGAACTGGGTCTCTCTCCCTGTAGTCCAAGTTCTCTCCCTGTCCACGTGGCCTTTCCATGTAATTTGTCTAGCAGAGTAGGATGACATTTTTTTTTTCCCCCGAGATGGAGTTTCTTATTGCCCAGGCTGGAGTGCAATGGCGCCATCTCGGCTCACTGCATGCAACCTCTGCCTCCTGGGTTCAAGCGATTTTCTTGCCTCAGCCTCCCAAGTAGCTGAGTAGCTGAGATTACAGGCGCCCGCCACCATGCCCAGCTAATTTTTTGTATTTTTAGTAGAGACGGGGTTTCATCCTGTTGGCCAGGCTGGTCTCAAACTCCTGACCTCAGATGATCCACCCGCCTCGGCCTCCCAAAGTACTGAGATTACAGGCATGAGCCATCGTGCCCCGCCAGAATACTTCTTACATGTTGGCTCGGGGCTCCCAAAAGGGCAAAAGTGGAAGCTGCCAGGCCTTCTTAAAGCGTAGGTGCAGAACTAGCACCTTGGCTATATTCTTGGTTAAAGCAAGTAGAAGGGCTAGCCCCAATTCAAGGGGAGGGGACTATGCCAGGGTCCCTTCCAATACTGGAAGGCATGGTTCATTTCAGCAACCAATGTAACATATTACCACAGAAAGTTTTCCATCTTTGGTTGGTAGTGGCTTTGATACTAGTTATGGCATTTTATTTAGTGCATGCTGCTGGAAAGGTAAAAGAAAAGATGGCCTCGGAGATAGGACTGGTGGGGTTGAAGTGATTGTATTTAAGATATTGGTAACTTTCTGTTAGCTCCAAAGAGCAACCCAGTTTACCTGTAGGTCGGGCCAGAGAGACCCTAGTAGCACTGCAGCTGGGAAACCTGGCCTTTAATCCTGCCCCCACCATTTACTAACCCTGTGAGTATGGGCAATTTGCTTAAACACTTGAAGGCTTAGTTTGCTCAATATTACAAAATAGGATAATAATCTCATGGGGTTGTGAGAATTAAATCAGATAATGCATATAAAACAGCAGAATGTCTAGTATATAGTGAGTTCCTAATAATAATAATATTGTTCCTTATAACTTCTCTGGTCAGTTTTTTTTAAGTATTCCATAAAGATAAAACATTTTAATAACTGAAAATTTTTAAATAATTTAAATAATACATAAAGATATCAGAAAGACAAAAATTATCTAAAATCTCACCACTCACAGCCAAGCACCATCAAATTTGGGTAACCTTACTACTAAACCTCTATATCTCATAAGGATATATAACCAAATAATTTTTATACAAATAATAATATATATTTGTATATATATGTAATTACATATATATACACACACACACATGCACATATACTCAAATATAACTCTTGGAGATTCTTCCACTTCCAACAATATAGCTCTTTATTGTTCTTTGTGATAGGTGCACAGTATTCCATTGAATGCATATAACACTTTTTTTTTTTTTTTTGAGACAGAGTCTCTCTGTCGCCCAGGCTGGAGTGCAGTGGCGTGATCTCGGCTCACTGCAACCTCCACCTCCTAGGTTCAAGCGATTCTTCTGCCTCAGCCTCCCGAGTAGCTGGGATTACAGGTGCCCACCACCACGCCTGGCTAATTTTTTTGTATTTTTAGTAGAGACAGGGTTTCACCATGTTGGCCAGGTTGGTCTCGAACTCCTGACTTCGTGATCCACTCGCCTCGGCCTCCCAGAGGGCTGGGATTATAGGCCTGGGCCACCGCACCCAGCTGGATATACCACTTTTTAAAAAACTAATTCGTGCCCAGGTTGGGTTGGCCAGACCTATAATCCCAGCACTCTGAGAGGCGAAGGCAGGTGGGTCACTTGAGGTCAGGAGTTTGAGACCAGCCTGGCCAACATAGTCAAACCCCGTCTCCATTAAAAATACAAAAATTAGCTGGGCGTGGTGGCGGGCACCTGCAATCCCAGCTACTCGGGAGGCTGAGGCAGGAAAATCGCTTAAACCCGGGAGGCAGAGGTTGCAGTGAGCCGAGATCGCGCCATTGCACTCCAGCCTGGGCAACAGAGTAAGACTCCATCTCAAAAACAAACAAACAAACAAACAAACAAACAACAACAAAAAAAAAACTAATTCCCCTGTGGATGGACATAGGTTCTTTCCAATGTATCTGGTATGACCTATTCCCAAATATTGTGGTACAATGATAAATACATATCCTTGAAAACTTTTTTATATAAAATGAAAATTATCTGGAGACTCCACAGAATAGATTAACAACATCTGCCTTTTTCCAAATTTACCCTGAAATGTCCAAGGATGTAATTGGTCAGAGAAGTCTCTCAAACTTCCATACCACAGCAAGGACAGTGCAGATGTCCAATTAGCCAGTTACATCCTTTGCTACCTCTTTGTAGCAGGAAACTGATTCTGCACATCCAGTGAATAATGCTGCTAATTATGAAATGTTGCCTAGCAAGTTATCAGAGCTGCTTTCAGCATCAGCTGCCTACTGGACTGGAATCAATCCTTGAGGGCATCAGACTGGACTCCCTCTTGACTGAAATTAATTATTTCAAGGACTTTGTGGCCCTTCCCTGTCACTGTCCTTTGGCCACAGCCAGCCTGTCAACAGCCACAGGTCTCTCTAACTTTGTATTTCAGAAAGTAATCATTGAGTATCAATTTCTTCTAGCTTAGAAGACTCTAGCTTCCTTATGTAAATGTATCCACCTCCTTCTTAGGGACCAAGTTTACATATCAGGGATCTAATAGCCATTATAGTTGTCACAAAAGCTATATCCAGGCAGGTGCAGTGGCTTACACCTGTAATCCCAGCACTTTCGGAGGCTGAGGAGGGTGGATCACCTGTGGTCATGAGTTCTAGACTAGCCTGGCCAACATGATGAAACCCCGTCTCTATTAAAAATACAAAAAATTAGTCAGGCGGGGTGGTAGATGGCTGTAATCCCAGCTACTTGGGAGGCTGAGGCAGGAGAATCACTTGAACCCAGGAGGCAGAGATTGCAGTGAACTGAGATCACGCCACTGCATTCCAGCCTGGGCAACAGCAAGAGTCCATGACAAAAAAAAAAAAAAAAAAAAAAAGATATCCTGTTACAGAACAATTATTTTTTCTCAGCTTACATTTACATAACTGAGAGAGCCACTGAAGTGATCCTCTGCACTAAGGATACCACATTTTCTTTTTCATTTCTTTACGGTTTTTGAGACAGGATCTCATTCTGTCACCCAGGCTGGAGTGTAGCGTCATGATCACAGCTCACTGTAGACTCGACTACCTGGGCTCTTGAATCCGGGAGGCAGAGGTTGCAGTTAGCCAAGATCACGCCATTGCACTCCCCCCTGGGCAACAGAGGGAGACTCCGTCTCAAAAAATAAAATAAATAAATGAATAATGATAGCTGGTGGAAGAACTGGATATAAATGTACATCTTACTACTGCCCTGCTTCCTGTTCCAAGTCTCATAAAACAGAACATACTCATTTTAAAAATTAAACAGTAAATTTCAAATCGAGCTGAAAATTCAGAATTAGTGTTATTGACACACCAGAAAATTTGAGGATACTCTGAAAAAATACAGGGTGAATAGGAAGACCATCTAAAATGCCAAGAAGTTTTATAGGAAGCTTAAGATGATTATAACATTTAGCTGGAAAACAAAATGTGCAAGAATAGCCAATAATGATGTTTTCCACTTGGAAAAAAATTAAAATTACACCATACATAAAATAATCCCATATGGATTAAGAAACAAAATAATCATAAAAACCAAAAAAAATTGACCAGGTACGATAGCTCATTCCTATAATCCCAGCACCTTGGAAGGCTGAGGCAGGTAGGTTCGCTTGAGCCCAGGAGTTTGAGCCCTGCCTAGGAAGCCAACATGGCAAAACCCCATTTCTACAAAAAATACAAAAATTAGCCGGGTGTGGTGGTGTGGGAAGCCAACATGGCAAAACCCCATTTCTACAAAAAATAAAAAAATTAGCCGGGTGTGGTGGTGTGGGAAGCCAACATGACAAAACCCCATTTCTACAAAAAATACAAAAATTAGCCGGGTGTGGTGGTGTGTGCCTATAGTCCCAGCTACTTGAGGGGCTGAGGCAGGAGGATTGCTTGAGCCGAAGAGGTCGAGGCCACAGTGAGCCATGTTCATGCCACTGCATTCCAACCTGGGTGACAAAGCGGGACCCTGTCTCAAAAAAAAAAAAAAAAAAAGGAAATCTATATCTACTGACACAGAAAATTTCCAAGATATGGAATAAGGTAAAAGGAAATTGTGAAACAGTAGGTTCAGTTTGATATTGTTTATATAAAGTAAAACCAGAACACATTTCAATATGAAAATATAAAGCATAAAAGTAGCCGTAGAAAAAGATCTGAAAGGAAAAACCCAGACTGAGAACAGCGTTACCTTAGGGAAACCTCAGGAAAACTGAGTTGGAATGTTAGAAGTGGGACATGAGAGTCTTTAATTTTGTCTATATCATTTGAATGTCTTACAATGATAATGGATTCATACATCATTTGTATGATTTAAAAAAAAATGATTTAAAATAAGAAAAAGAAGAGAAAATCAAATTTGTCAAAAAAAAAAAAAAAAAACCACACACACACACACAGCCTGACACTTATGCAGGAAAAGACAGTTTGGAGGGGAAGCAAAGCCTCCTGTGGCCTCAGCAGCTGCTCAGGACAGCCATCCTCCATGTGACGATTCTATGATCCACATAGCCACAGTCTGCGGCACCACCATGTCAACATGGGCTTCCAGGACCCCTGCAAAAAGGAGAGAGAGAGGATGGCTTTTCAGAGCTTCCACTCGGAAGTGAGACGCATCATTGACAACCAAATCAACTCAGATGTCCCCACCTAACTTGGGGTGGGGAAGAGGGCAGGCCTGCAGTCCCTCCATGTGCTCAAAATACTGCTGAAGAGTGATGGTGTTCACTACACACACCTCATCCACAAGCACCACAGACAGACAAAACAGAATCAAAATGTAGACGAATAGGGATTATACTCTAAAATGAGCAATTCCTCAAAAAATTAAAAATAGGATTACCCTGTGATCTGGCAATTCCACTTCTAGGTATATAGCCCCCAAAACTGAAGGCAGGATCTCGCCTACCATCACACCTGCCTAATTTTTTGTATTTTTAGTAGAGACGGGGTTTCACCGTGTTAGCTGGGATGGTCTTGATCTCCTGACCTTGTGATCCGCCTGCCTGGGCCTCCCAAAGTGCTGGGATTACAGGCGTGAGCCACCGCACCTGGCCTCCATGTCAGCCTCTTAAGTAGCTACGACTACAGGTGCACACCATCACATCCAGCGAATTAAAAAAAAAAAATTTTTTTTTTTTTTTTTTTTTTTAGAGACAGAGTCTTGCTATGTTGCCCAGGCTAGTCTTGAACTCTTGGCCTAGAGCGATCCTTCCTTCCAGCTGGGCCTCCCAAAATGCTGGGATTACAGATGTGAGCCACCACACCCAGCATGAATACCTTTTTTTTTTTTTTGAGATGGAGTCTCACTCTGTCACCCAGGCTGGAGAGCAGTGGCATGATCTCAGCTCACGGCAACCTCCGCCTCCTGGGTTCAAGCAATTCTCCTATCTCAGTCCTCTGAGTAGCCACCACACCTGGCTGATTTTTGTATTTTTAGTAGACACGGGTTTTTACCATGTTGGCCAGAGTGCTCTCCTGACCTCAGGTGATCCGCCTGCCTGCCTTGGCCTCCCAAAGTGCTGGGATTACAGGCATGAGCCACTGCGGCCGGCCCGCGTGAATACCATTTTTAACACATCGATTTGAATCGTCCTGTTGGTAATTCATGTACTTCCCACATATGCTTGAGTTTATTTCTAGACTTGTTTCATTGATCTGTCAGCTTATTTCTATACATGTACACATTTGTTTTAATTAGTGTAGCTTTCTATTACTATGCAGTATAATATAACATAAGGCCCCTATGTTAATCTTGTTTTTCAGAATTTGCCTGACTCACATGTCCATGCAATAAACTCCAGAACCATTTTATTAAGTTTTCTACAAAAATCCTTTTGGGATTTTTTTATTGTTATTACATTTTATATAGATAGATGAATTTTGAGAGGATTGGCATTTCTTCAATATTGACTCTCCTACTCATATTTAATAAGACTTCATCCTAGAATACAAGACCATTCACAGCAGTTCCAATCTACCTTTTCCTTCGGCGTTTAACTACCTTCCAGCCAAATTCACTATGATCTGGTCTCTGAACATATTCTGTGTTCTTTTCTGCATCTCTCTTCACCCAAACTAGTCTCTCTTTCTGAAACATCCTCCTCCTCTTCTTCCCACAGTTTCCTGGCCGGGCACGGTGGCTCATGCCTGTAATCCCAGCACTTTGGGAGGCCGAGGCAGGCAGATCATGAGGTCAGGAGATGGAGACCACCCTGGCTAATATGGTGAAATCCCGTCTCTACTAAAAATACAAAAAATTAGCTGGGCGTGGTGGTGCACGCCTGTAATCCCAGCTACTCGGGAGGCTGAGGCAGGAGAATCACTTGAACCCAGGAGGCAGAGGTTGCAGTGAGCCGAGATCATGCCACTGTGCCACTGTACTCCAGCCTGGGAAACAGAGTGAGACTCTGTCTCAAAAAAAAAAAAAAAAAAAAAAAAAATATATATATATATATATCCTCCTCCTCTTCTTCCCAGTTTCCTTTTTTTTTTTTTTTTTAATGAGACAGAGTCTCCTCTGTGGCCCAGGCTGGAATGTAGCAGTGCAATCTCAACTCACTGCAACCTCTGCCTCCCAGGCTCAAGTGATTCTCCTGCTTCAGCCTCCTGAGTAGCTAGCTGGGATTACAGGTGCCCGCCTCCCTGCCCGGCTTTTTTTTTTTTTTAAAGAGATGGGGTTTCACCATGTTGAACAGGCTCAAATTCCTGACCTGAAGTGATCTGCCCACCTTGGACCCCCAAAGTGCTGGAATTACAGGTGTGAGCCACCATGTCCAGCCTCCTTCCCACAATTTCTACTGTCCCACAGCCTACATATACTTTCATGTCTCATTACAAATTGCCACTTAACCCATAAAGCCTTCTTCATTCTTCCATCCAGATGTAACCTCTAGCTCCGTTGAAGCCCCATAGCATTTGTTTCGTCACTTTCTTAGGGTACTCACTCAAATTTGCCCTCTGAATAGTTATTTGCGTTTCTTTTATTGGCCCACAATCAACAACAGTTCTGTATTACAGCAACAGGTCTCAACTAGGAGTTCACGTCAGAATCTTGGAAGACCTTTTTAAAAAATCCAAATGCTAGCCAGGCGCAGTGGCTCACGCCTGTAATCCCAGCACTTTGGGAAGCTTAGGCGGGTGGGTCACCTGAGGCCAGGAGTTCGAGACCAGCCTGACCAAAATGGAGAAAACCCCATCTCTACTAAAAATACAAAATTAGCCTGGTGTGGTGGCACATGCCTGTAATCCCAGCTACTGGGGAGGCTGAGGCAGGAGACTCGCTTGAACCCGGGAGGCGGAGGTTGCGGTGAGCCCCGACATCGCGCCACTGCACTCTAGCCTGGGCAACAAAAGCAAAACTCCGCCAAAAAAAAAAATCCCCACAGGTTGTCTGTGAACCTCTGGTTGAAACACTGTTTTATTTATTTATTTATTTATTTATTTATTTATTTATTTATTTATTTTTGAAACAGTCTCACTCTGTCGCCCAGGCCAGAGTGCAGTGGCACGATCTCGGCTCACTGCAAGCTCCGCCTCCCGGGTTCACACTGTTCTCCTGCCTCAGCCTCCCCAGTAGCTGGGACTGCAAGTGCTCGCCACTGCACCCGGCTAATTTTTTGTACTTTTAGTAGAGACGGGGTTTCACCGTAGTGTTGTTCTCCTGACCTCGTGATCCGCCCACCTCCGCCTCCCAAAGTGCTGGGATTACAGGGGTGAGCCACCGCGCCCGGCCCGTGTTTTATTTATCTCTTGAGACAGGGTCTGGCTCCGTTGTCCAGGTTGGAGTGCAGTGGCGCAATCTTGGCTCACTGCAACCTCTGCCTTTCTGCAACTTCGACTTCCCTGGGCTCAAGCCATTCTCCCACCTCAGGCTCCCAGGTAGCTGGGACTACAGGCACCCACCATCACACCCTGCTAATTTTTATATGTTTTGTAGAGACGGGGTTTCACCATGTTGCCCAGGCTGGTCTCAAACTCCTGGACTCAAGTGATCCACCCACCTTGGCGTCCCAAAGCGGTGGGATTACAGGCGTGAGCCACCGCGCCCGGACATCAAGCCACTTCTAATAGCTGCACAGCATTCCACTGGAAAGATGAGCCATTACATATTTTACCAGGCTTCTACTAGCAAGCAGCTGTTTTTAGTTTCTTTCTACTATAAACAATGCTGGGATACACATCTTGTACCTGCGGATCCTACAATTTAAGGGGTCAGCGGAAGTAAGGGAAGCATCAGGGGAAAATGGGATTCAACTTGTCCCTTACGGAGGAGAGTGTCTGAAGCTGCTTAGAGATGACCTTGGCCTGACCTCCTTGATGGCAGTGCTTAGAGCAGTAGCCCTCAAATCTCAATGTGAAGATCACTTGGGGAGCTAATTAAACAGCAGGTTCCTAAGTCGCACTCCAGAGAATCAGGTTCAGTCTGGGGCAAGGTCTGAGAATACGCTTTTTTTTTTTTTTTTTTTTTTTTGAGACAGTCTTACTCTGTTGCCCAGGCTGGAGTGCAGTGCTGTGATCTCTGCTCACTGCAAGCTCTGCCTCCCGGGTTCAAGCGATTCTCCTGCCTCAGGCTCCCAAGCAGCTGGGACTACAGGCATAAGCCACCATGCCCAGCTAATTTTTGTATTTTTAGTAGAGATGGGGTTTCACCATATTGGCCAGGCTGGTCTAGAACTCCTGACCTCGTGATCTGCCCACCTCGGCCTCCCAAAGTGCTAGGATTACAGGTGTGAGCCCCCGTGCCCAGCTGGGAATCTGCTTTTTTTTTTTTTTTTTTTGAGGCAGAGTTTCACTCTTGTTGCCCAGGCTGGAGTGCAATGGTGCAATCTTGGCTCACCGCAACCGCAACCTCCCAGGTTCAAGCGATTTTCCTGCCTTGGCCTCCCAAGTGGCTGGGATTACAGGCATATGCCACCATACCTGGCTAATTTTTCTATTTTTAGTAGAGATGAGGTTTCGCCATGTTGGTCAGGCTGCTCTCAAACTCCCGACCTCAGGTGATCTGCCCACCTCGGCCTCCCAAAGTGCTAGGATTATAGGCGTGAGCCACTGCGCCCAGCCAAGAATCTGCAATTTTAACAACACGTCAGCTGATTCTAATGTAAGTGGCTGTGTGCCACACTTGGAGAAACACTGACTTCAAGAGTAGAGGGAAGTAAACAGTGTTCACCTGAGAAGCAGGAGAGGCTGTCGGGGGTCGGATAGGACAGACAGTTACTTAGGCATCTTCAATCATTCCCAGAGGATCAGGCCGTAGTGTGCTTTGGGGTGGAACAGAACTATGAATAACAAATCCACCAGCTGGCTTCCATTCTCTAAGAAAGTCCAGGGATTCTCAGAGTCACATAGAAAGACCCCAAGTCCCCTAGTCTCTCCCTAATCTGGCAATTCCTCCCCTCCCTTGTCCTCCATGTCATTCAGTTAGGACTATAGGACTACAGGACTAGAAGTAGCTCAGCATGTTCACTGGAGCATTAAAAAGTCCACTAGTGGCTGGGCGAAGTGGCTCATGCCTGTAATCCCAGCACTTTGGGAGGCCAAGGCGGGCGGATCACCTGAGGTTGGAGTTCAAGACCAGCCTGACCAACATGGAGAAACACCGTTTCTCCCACCTCAGCCTCCTGAGTAGCTGGGACCACACGTGCACACCAGCACACCTGGCTAATTTTTGTACTTTTTTTTTTTTTTTAGACAGAGTTTCCTCTGTCACCCAGACTGGAGTGCAGTGGCATGATATTGGCTCACTGCAACCTCCGCCTCCCGGGTTCAAGCAATTCTCCTGCCTCAGCCTCCTGAGTAGCTGGGATTACAGGCACGCACCACTGTGCCTGGTTAGTTTTTGTATTTTTAGTAGAGGCGGGGTTTCACCATGTTGGCCAGGCTGGTCTTGAACTTTTGACCTTGAGTGATCCACCGCCTCGACCTCCCAAAATTCTGGGATTAGAGGCATCAGCCACCAAGCCCGGCCTTTACTTTTTGTCGAGACAGAGTCTCACTTTGTTGCCCAGGCTGGTCTCAAACTTCTGGGCTCAAGCGATCCTCCCACCTCAGCCTCCCAAATTGCTGGGATTACAGGCAGAAGCATTATTTAAACAGCAAAAATCTGGAAAAGAATTCCAGTTGTTAAAATGAGTGGTAGGTTCACAAGTCTTTGTCTTATTGTGCATACAAAATACATATGCATGACTTTATTTTTTTTTTTTAGACGGAGTCTCGCTCTGTTGCCCAGGCTGCAGTGCAGTGGTGCGATCTCGGCTCACTGCAAGCTCCGCCTCCTGGGTTCATGCCATTCTTCTGCCTCAGCCTCCCGAGTAGCTGGGATTACAGGCATGCGCCACCATGCCCAGCTAATTTTGTATTTTTAGTAAAGATGGGGTTTTGCCATGTTGGTCAGGCTGGTCTTGAACTCCCGACCTCAGGTGACCCGCCCGCCTCAGCCTCCCAAAGTGCTGGGATTACAGGTGTGAGCCACCGTGCCTGGCAACATGTATTTTTTGACTATGTTAAATATTTTAAAATTAAAAAATAGGCCAGGCGCGGTGGCTCACACCTGTAATCCCAGCACTTTGGGAGGCCAAGGCGGGTGGATCACGAGGTCAGGAGATCGAGACCATCCTGGCCAACATGGTGAAACCCCATCTCTACTAAAATACAAAAAGCTAGCTAGGCGTGGTGGTGCATGCCTGTAGTCCCAGCTACTTGGGAGGCTGAAGCAAGGGAACTGCTTGAACCCAGGAGGCGGAGGTTGCAGTGAGCCAAGATCGTGCCTCTGCACTCCAGCCTGGCGACAGAGGGAGACTCCGTCTCAGGAAAAAAAAAAAATTAAAAATTAAATTAATAAAATAAGAGAAAGACAAAGTTCCTTACTCACTACTGGAATCTCTTGAGGTTATTTACCCTCTGTACCTCATCTCTCCTCCATCAGGCACTAGGGACCAGGGAGCAAGATGTCAGGCCTCAGCTGGATGCAGTGGCTCATGCCTGTAATCCCAACACTTTGGGAGGCCGACATGGACAGATCATGAGATCAGGAGTTCAGGACCAGCCTGGCCAATATTGTGAAACCCCCATCTCTACTAAAAATTCAAAAGCTAGGTGGGCATGGTGGCACAAGCCTGTAGTCCCAGCTACTTGGGAGGCTAAGGCAGGAGAATCTCTTGAACCCTGGAGGCGGAGGTTTCAGTGAGCCGAGATTGCGCCACTGCACTCCAGCCTGGCCAATAGAGGGAGACTCCGTCTCAAAACAAAAAACAAAAAAGACGTTAGGCCTCAAGAGGCCAATGGAAGCTTGTAAAAATCCACCTCCGCCTCCCCCATGCAGACTGCAACCAGCCCCTGTCCTGCTCCTCCCAGTCTGTGTCTCACAGCCTGTATCTGTCACGAAGACTTGGCCTCATTTCCCAGCCGAGCTGATTGCATGTTTGGCTAATATGACATTTTTCTCTGATGACAACAGGACTATGTGGGACACTGTATTTTGGACAAGCAAGTCATTCCAGCATCTACCTTCTCCTATCCTACTGCCTCCAAACCATTCCCACTGTTTCTCTTTTGCATCCTCCAGCCTCACATCTGGCTGTGTCTCTAGGTTTCCTTTTGCATCTCTAGTGATGAGCCTTCTTTGGCTCTTTCTCACTGTTTGTAAGCTCAGCAGCCAGCCTAGAGCTCTCCTGAGTCTTTTTTTTTTTTTTTTTTTTTTTTGAGACGGAGTCTTGCTCTGTCGCCCAGGCTACAGTGCGGTGGCGTGATCCTGGCTCACTGCAGTTTCTGCTTACTCGATTCAAGCAATTCTCCTGCCTCGGCTTCCCCAGTAGCTGGGATTAAAAGCATGTGCCACCACGTCTGGCTAATTGTATTTTTTAGTAGAGACGGGGTTTCGCCATGTTGGCCAGGCTGGTCTCAGACTCCTGACCTCAGGTGATCTGCCCACCTCGGCCTCCCAAAGTGCTGGGATTACAGGCATGAGCCACCGCGCCCGGCCCCAAAGTGCTAGGATTTAAGATGTGAGCCACTGGGTCCAGCTCCATCTAGTTTTAATCACTTGTCTTAAAAATGGAAAAACTAATGCTAGAGTGGGAAGGAGACTTGGATGGACCGAGGATGCTTAGCTCTTCCGTGGCAGATTTTGGACCAGAACCCGGATCTCCTGTGTCTCCTGAGGGATAGAGGTGAGGGAGGAGGACCCACAGCCACTAGCTCAGCCTTGCCCCAGCTCCTCCCAAGGCCTCAACACTCAGCCCTTTGAAGATGCTGGCTACTAAGCAGCTAATGAGTCTACCACTCTGGGGGTGGGAAGAGCCTGCCTCACCTGTCAGCCGGTCCATTGCATAACTTGACAAGTTGAGGCCAGGGACTCTGCTTCCCACACTAGGCCCAGCTGAAGAGGGGAAAGGTCAGGGTGCAGGGAGTAACAAGGAAGCTGGACGCTAGTCCTACCTTCCCCTCAGATCCTACCCCCTCTCCCTGCAGGGCTTGGGGTGGGTTAAAGTTAAGAGAGGCCTATCGGGGAAGCAGGGGTGGGAAAACAGGTTCTCTGCAAGAGTTCAACGGGGCAGGGCTAGTACTCTTTCTCACCTCTGAAGGGTCTTTTATTTCAGGGAGGGAATTTGCGGACAAGACAGAAAAGAGGCTGGGTGCAGTGGCTCACACTTGTAATCCCAACACTTTGGGAGGCTGAGGCAGGAGAATCACTTGAGCCAAGGAGTTTGAGACCAAACTGGGCAACATAGTGAGGCCCTGTCTATACCATTTTAAAAATTAACCAAGCATGGTGGCGCATGCTTGTAGTCCCAGCTATTTGGGAGGCTGAGGCAGGAGGATGGCTTTAGGAGTTCGAGGCTGCAGTGAGCTGTGATGTGCACCACTGCACTCCAGCCTGAGGGACAGAGCAAGACCTTGTCTTAGAAACAACAACAACAGCAACAAAACACGTAGGCCAGGTGCAGTTGTTCACCCCTGTAATCCCAGCTACTCAAGAGGCTAAGGCAGGGAGAATCTCTTGAACCCAGGAGGTGGAGGCAGCAGTGAGCTGAGAGCTGAGACTGCGCCACTGCACTCCAGCCTGGGTGACAGAGTGAGACCTTGTCTCCAAAAAAAAGAAAAAAAGAAAAATAAAAAACATGGAAAGGAAGAGGAAGCGCCGGGCGCAGTGACTCACGCCTGTAATCCCAGCACTTTGGGAGGCCATGGCAGGCGGATCACTTAAGGTCTGGAGTTAGAGACCAGCCTGGCCAACATAGCAAAATCCCGTCTCTACTAAAAATACAAAACTCAGCCAGGCGTGGTGGCAGGCACCTGTAGTCCCAGCTACTCAGGAGGCTGAGGCAGGAGAATCGCTTGAGCCCAGGAGGCGGAGGTTGCAGTGAGCTGAGATCGCGCCACTGCACTCCAGCCTGGACGACAGAGCGAGACTCCATCTCAAAAAAAAAAAAAGAAAGGAGGAGGAAGCAGCTTTTGGCTGGTCCTTCTTTCAGGCCATGAGTTGTGAGTTTACGTATAAAATGGAGAAATAAGAGATGAGACGGAGAGCCGACTTTGTCGTTGAGGCTGCCCATGCAGCCTCTAATGGAGGCACTGGAGAGTGGACTCAGTGCAAACATGTCCGGGGTCCCAGTTTGGTTCCCTGAGCTGTGAGGCAACAAATGCAGAGGCCAGACACGCCTTTCCCAGGGCCATGGACTTTCTCAGGTGTGCCATGAAGATGGCCATACTTGGCCACTGTTCAGCAATTCCATCACAGCCTCTGAGCAATCCAATGAGAGGCTTTTGTTTTTGTTTTTTTTTTGGAGACTGAGTCTTGCTCTGTCACCCTGGCTGGAGTGCAGTGGCATGATCTCAGCTCACTGCAACTTTCCCCCTCCTGGGTTCAAGCAATTCTTGTGCCTCAGCCTCCTGAGCAGCTGGGATCACAGTCACGCGCCACCACACCTGGCTAATTTTTGTATTTTAGTAGAGACAGGGTTTCACCATGTTGTCCATGTTGAAGTAAGGAGTCTCAAACTCCTTACTTCAAGTGTTCCACCCGCCTTGGCCTCCCAGAGTGCTGGGATTACAGGCGTGAGCCACCACTCCCAGCCTGGTTTTGTTTTTTTAAATTATCCAACTGTTTATCATCTATAAGACCACATATATGTATATAATATATAGTATATATCATATATATGATATATATTTAGTATATATCATATATATATATAAAATATATATCATATATATGATATATATTTTATATATATATCATATATAAGGCCCTCCCACAGAAGCACTCCCAAAACTGTACACAACCCATGGAAATACAGGATCCCCAAAACCCAAAGTACTTCCTACGCAACTGAGTTTGGGGGTTGAAGTTTGTGGCAGCTACAGAGGCCTCTCTGGTGACTGAAGGCCTGGTTTTAGTTACAGACTTCTGTGCATTGTAGATATCAACAGCACGGAAAAGTCAAACACACGTGTTCGCATGCTGAGGTCCAGTTTGGACTTGCCGTGTACGCTTCGCTGTAACATTAAATGAAAAAAAAACCCTCTTTGTATTATACTCGCCCAGCCAGAAATTTATATTTTAGATACAAATTAGTGAATATAAAGATGTAATTTTTTGGCTGGGCGTGGTAGCTCACGCCTGTAATCCCAACACTTTGGGAGGCCAAAGCAGGTGGATCACGAGGTCAAGAGATCGAGACCATCCTGGCCAACATGGTGAAACCCCATCTCTACTAAAAATAGAAAAATTAGCCGGGTGTGGTGGCGGGCGCCTGTAGTCGCAGCTACTCAGGAGGCTGAGGCAGGAGAATCACTTCAACCCCGGAGGCCCAGGTTGCAGTGAGCCGAGATCATGCCACTGCACTCCAGCCTGGTGACAGAGCAAGACTCCACCTCAATAATAATAACAAAAAAGATGTAATTGTTTTTCCCATCCATATTCAAGGACCCCAGGTCATAAGAAATCCTGGCCACAAGAAATTCATCTCTTCTCAATCCCAAACTCTTCCACAGGACTCACAAGGCCTCCAGAGACAAGTAGCCCAAGATCTTTGACCTGCTTGAAGGAAGAGCGGGAGAGGGTGGGGGCGCAGTTCTCACCCAGCGTCAGCCCTTGATGTGTCTCTGGGCTTGCTCTGGCAGGCCCCAGTCCAAGGGCAAAATGGAGGACATTTGGCTTTGATTGGAAAAGATTTCAGAATTCTGTGGTTTGATGCTCTCTGACCATGAGTGGATAGGTGGGAGCCACTGATGGTTAATATCTCAATATAATATTTTCCCATTTACCTTTATGGCGTTACACACAATCCTAACATGCCTAGTCATCTCCCCTCCCCTCTCCTCCCCTTCCCTTTTTGAGATGGAGTCTGGTCCTGTTGCCCACACCAGAATGCAGTGGCATGATCATAGTTCACTGCAGCCTTGAACTCCGGTGTCACAAATAATCTTTTTTTTTCTTTTTTTGAGATGGCGTCTCCCTCTGTCGCCCAGGCTGGAGTGCAGTGGCGTGATCTCGGCTCACTGCAACCTCCACCTCCCAGGTTCAAGCAATTCTCCTATCTCACCCTCTTGAGTAGCTGGGATTACAGGCATACACCACCACACCTGGCTAATTTTTCCATTTTTAGTAGAGACGGGTTTTCACCATGTTGGTCAGGCTGGTCTCAAACTCCTGACATCATGATCCGCCCACCTCGGCCTCCCAAAGTGCTGGGATTACAGGCGTGAGCCACCACACCCGGCCCTATCTCTTTTCTTAACTCACAGGAAAATAGAAGCAGCAGATTAGAAAAGTCTGATCAGCAGCTGCTAAAAAAACACATAATACCGAGGCTGGGTGTGGTGGCTCACACCTGTAATCCCAGCACTTTAGGAACCTGAGGTGGGAGGATTGCATGAGGCCTAGGAGTTGAAGACCAGCGTGGGCAATATAGCGAGACCCCTGTCTCCACAAAAAAATTAAGAAAAAAAAACAAACAAAAAACTAGCTGACTGTGGTGGCATGCACCTGTCATTCTAGGTACTTGAGAAGCTAAGGTGGGAGGATTGATTGATCCCAGAAGTTCGAGGCTGCAGTGAGCTATCATTGTGCCATTGCACTCCAGCCTGGCCAAGAGAGCAAGACCCCGCCTCTAAAAAAAACAATAAAAATGGCCGGGCACAGTGGCTCACGCCTGTAATCCCAGCACTTTGGGAGGCCAAGGTGGGCAGATCACAAGGTCAGGAGATCAAGACCATCCTGGCTAACATGGTGAAATCCCATCTACTAAAAATACAAAAAAAAATTAGCCAGGCACGGTGGTGGGTGCCTGTAGTCCCAGCTACTTGGGAGGCTGAGGCAGGAGAATGGCGTGAACCTGGGAGGTGGAGCTTGCAGTGAGCGGAGATCGCACCACTGCACTCCAGCCTAGGCGACAGAGCAAGACTCCGTAAGAAGAATAATAATAATAATAATAAATAAATAAATAAATAAAAATGGCCTGGCGCAGTGGCTTACGCCTGTAATCCCAGCACTTTGGGAGGCCGAGGCGGGCAAATCACCTGAGTGATCAGGAGTTCCAGACCAGCCTGGCCAACATGGAGAAACCCCATCCCTACTAAAAGTACAAAAATTAGCCAGGCGTGGTGGTGGGCGCCTGTAATCCCAGCTGCTCAGGAGGCTGAGGCAGGAGAATCACTTGAACCCGGGGGGTGGAGGTTGCAGTGAGCCAAGATCACACCACTGCACTCCAGCCTGGGAGATAAGAGCGACACTGTTTAAAAACAAACAAACAACAAAAATAAAAATAAAAATAAATAACACATAATGCCTAAGGTAATTGAAAACACCCTGAAACATACAGAAGATTTTTGTTTTTGTTTTGTTTGAGACATATCACTCTGTCATGCAGGCTGGAGCGCAGTGGCATGATCTCAGCTCACCGAAACCTCCGCTTCCTGGGTTCAAGCGATTCTCCTGCCTCAGCCTCCCAAGTAGCTGGTATTGCAGGCATGCACCACAACACCAGGCTAATTCTTTTTGTATTTTTAGTAGAGATGGGGTTTCACCATGTTGGCCAGGCTGGTCTCGAACTCCTGACCTCAAATGATCTACCTGCCTTGGCCTCCCAAAGTGCTGGGATTACAGGCGTGAGCCACCATGTCCGGCTGAAGAGATTATATATATTTTAATGCCAGATGAGAATTCAAAAATCACAGAAAATTGGAAAAGCCTGGGCAACATGCTTAAAACCCCATCTTTACCAAAAAAAAATATATATATAGATATAGATATAGATATTAAAAAATTAGCTGGGCATGGTGGTATGAGCCTGTAGTTCCAGCTACTGGGGAGGCTGAAGTGGGAGGATTACTGACCCTGGGAGATCAAGGGTGATGAGTCATGATCCTGTCCCTGCACTCCAGCACTCAGGGTCAACAGAGCAGGACTGTCTCAAAAAAAAAAAAAAAAAAAAAAAAAAAAAGGAAAGATTTAGTTGGTATAGGAGCAGATAATTATATGCATTTTAATTTCCCGAAATGCTTCTCTGACATTACAATAACTGATATTTATCACTATAACCCTATATTCTGAAGAAAAACCCAGAGAACATAGATTTGTTAACCTATACCTAAGAAAGAGATGCATAGAATATATTTAGCAGTTTCCAAGCAAGATGGTAAAAATAAAAAGTTTTGGTGCTTAGAGAGGTAAATCTATAGGTTCTGGATAGCTGAAGTTTTGAAATTAATATCACACTCCAGACCCCATCTGCCCTTAATCCTGGGGTTCTTACAGGATACCTTGTTTTTGAGGAGTCTCGCTCTGTCTCCCAGGCGGGAGTACAGTAGCACAACCTCGGCTCACATATTGGCCAAGGTGGTCTCAATCTCCTAACCTCAGGTGATCTGCCTGCCTTAGCCTCCCAAAGTGCTGGAATTAGAGGCATGAACCACTGCGCCTGGCTTTCTTACAGGATACTTTTAAGTTTCCTATGCTCCCCTGGGAGGAAAAGGAGGTGGTGGAGATCATAGTGTGTCCGGAACTGGTGGGTTCTTGGTCTCACTGACTTCAAGAATGAAGCCGTGAAGCCTCGTGGTGAGTGTTACAGTTCTTAAAGGCGGCGTGTCTGGAGTTTTTTCCTTCTGATGTTCAGATTTGTTCAGAGTTTCTTCCTTCTGGTGGGTTCGTGGTCTGACGCTGGCTCAGGAGTGAAGCTACAGACCTTCACGGCGAGTGTTAATAGGTCTTAAGAGGGCACATGTAGAGTTGTTCCCTCCTCTCAGTGGGTTTGTGGTCTTGCTATCTTCAGGAGCGAAGCTGCAGACCTTTGTGATGAGTGTTACAGCTCATAAGAGCAGTGTGGACCCAAAGTCTCAGCAGCAGCAAGATTTACTGCAAAGAGCAAAAGAACAAAGTTTCCACAACGTGAAGGGATACCCAATCAGATTGCTGCTGCTGCTAGCTCAAGCAGCCTGCTTTTATTCTCTTATCTGACCCCACCCACATACTGCTCATTGGTCCATTTTATAGAGAGCCGATTGGTTTGTTTTACAGAGAGCTGATTGGTCCGTTTTGACAGGGTGCTGATTGGTGCATTTACAATCCCTGAGCTAGACGCAAAAGTTCTCCAAGTCCCCACTAGATTAGCTAGATACAGAGTGCTGACTGGTGTATTTACAAACCCTGAGCAAGACACAGAGTGCTGATTGGTGCATTTACAAACCTTGAGCTAGACACAGAGTGCTGATTGATGCATTCACAATCCCTTAGCTAGACATAAAGATTCTCCAAGTCCCCACCAGATTAGCTAGATACAGAGTGCTGATTGGTGCATCCACAAACCCTGAGCTAGACACAGGGTGCTGATTGGTGTGTTCACAAACCTTGAGCTAGACACAGAGTGTTGATTGGTGCACTCACAATCCCTTAGCTAAACACAAAGCCTCTCCAAGTACCCACTAGACTCAGGAGCCCAGCTGGCCTCTCCCCCTGGATTGCTCACTGGGGCCGCAGGTGGAGCTGCCTGCCAGTCCCGCGCCCTGCGCCCACACTCCTCAGCCCTTGGGCGGTCGATGGGATTGGGCGCTGTGGAGCAGGGAGCGGCACTCCTCAGGGAGGCTCAAGCCGCGCAGGAGCCCAGCGTGGGGGGTGGGTTGGAGATGCAGGCATGGCGGACTGCAGGTCCCGAGCCCTGCCCCGCAGGGAGGCAGCTAAGGCCCGGCGAGAAACCGACCACAGCAGCTGCTGGCCCAGGTGCTAAGCCCCTCACTGCCCGGGCTGGCGGGGCAGGCCAGCCGGCTGCTCAGAGTGCCGGGCCCGCCCAGCCCACGCCCACCCGGAACTCATGCTGGCCTGCAAGCGCCGCGTGCAGCCCGGGTTCCCGCCCGCGCCTTTCCCTCCACACCTCCCTGCAAGCTGAGGGAGCTGGCTCCGGCCTTGGCCAGCCCAGAGTAGGGCTCCCACGGTGCAGCGGCGGGCTGAAGGGCTCAAGCGCGGCCAGAATGGGCACCGAGGCCGAGGAGGCACCCAGAGCAAGCTAGGGCTGCCAGCACGCTGTCACCTCTCAATAGGACCCCTGGAGGAGGACCCACTTCAGTTCACATGGGAACATCCATTGCAGATTACAGACCACGGAGAATGGAGCCCAGGCAGCTTTCACTCATCCACTGATGATCAGCCAGTACCGAACCACACAATGTTTTTTTTTTTGAGACGGAGTCTCACTATGTTGCCCAGGCTGGTCTTGAACTTCTGGGCTCAAGCGATCTTCCCACCTTGGTCTCCCAAAGTGCTGGGATTACAGGCATGAGCCACTGCACCCGGCCATACCAAACCACAGAATTGTGAAGCCTTTTTCAAAGTGAAATATCTTCAACTTTGCTCTTGCCCCAGGAGTCCCCTGTAAGCAGCCAAGAGTGAAACTTTTGAGTTTAGGTGGTCCAACATCTGCCTTATACAGATGAGAAAATTGAGGCCCAGGTATGAAGTTAGTATAAAAGTAGCATTCTTTCTTCCTTAAGTATTTTGGTAGAATTCAATGATAAAGCCATCTGGGCCTGGAATTACTTTGTGGGAATGGATTTAATTTCATTAATATTTCTTTCTTGGGACATTCTTTACCATTCATCTTTTCTTCTTGTGATAATTTTCTTTTTGCCAGCTTGTGCCTGTTTCTACAATATGTAGAAATTCCTGAAATAAAGTGGTTTGTAATGTCATATAAAAATATTTAAGGAACTGGCTGGGCGTGGTGGTGGGGCCTGTAATCCCAACACTTTGGGAGGCTGAGGCGGGTGAATTACTTGAGGCCAGGAGCTTGACACCAGCCTGGTCAACATGGCGAAACCCCGTCTCTACTAAAAAAAAAAACAAAAAAAACCCCACAAAAACTAGCCAGGCGTGGTGGCGCCTGCCTGTAATCCCAGCTACTCAGGACGCTGAGGCACGAGAATTGCTCGAGCCTGAGAGTTGGAGGTTGAAGTGAGCTGAGATTGTACCACTTCACTCCAGCCTGGGCGACAGATAGAGACTCCATCTCAAAACAAACAAACAAACTGCCCTGCTACTTTTAACCGCTTACATTCCCACCAAGAGTACACGAGAGTTCCAATGTTTCCACATTCTCTCCAACACTTAATTTTCTGTGTGTGTTTTTTTTTTTTTTTCCTGTAGTGGCCATCCTAATGGGAATGAGGTTTTGATTTACATTTCCTTAACGATTAGTGATGTTGAGCATCTTTTCATGTGTTTCTTGGCCATTTGTATACCTTCATTTGTCTCCCTCTGTCGCCCAGGCTGGAGTGCAGTGGCGTGATCTTGGCTCACTGCAAGTTCCGCCTCCCGGGTTCATGCCATTCTCCTGCCTCAGCCTCCGGAGTTGGGACTACAGGCTCCCACCACCACGCCCGGCTAATTTTTTGTATTTTTAGTAGAGATGGGGTTTTACCGTGTTAGCCAGGATGGTCTCGATCTCCTGACCCCGCGATCCGCCCGCCTCGGCCTCCCAAAGCGCTGGGATTACAGGCGTGAGCCACCGCACCCGGCCTTGCCGATTTTTAAATTATTATTATTAATATTTCTGTTTTTGAGTGAATGATGTGCCTTTCTGCATCCTTATATTTAAGGTGTATATTATAAGAAGCGGTGGCTCACTGCACTCCAGCCTGGGCGACAGAGCGAGACTCTGTCTCAAAAAAAAGAAAAGGATTTGTGGATATATCTGAAAACAACTGCATCTCGTATTTTGAAAAGAGTAATTGCCAACCCCCTGGCATAGCTGGTTAAGAAAAAGACAAAAGGTTTTTTTTTTTGTTTGTTTTTTTTTTTTGAGACGGAGTCTCATTCTGTCACTCAGGCTAGAGTGCAGTGGCACAATCTCTGCTCACTGCAACCTCTGCCTCCTGGGTTCAAGCAATTCTCCTGCCTCAGCTTCCCAAATAGTTGGGATTACAGGTGTGTACCACCACACCTGGCTAACTTTTGTATTTTTTTAGTAGAGACGGGGTTTCACTATGTTGGCCAGGCTGGTCTCAAACTCCTGATCTCAAGCGATCCACCCACCTCAGCCTCCCAAATTGCTGGGATTACAGGCGTAAGCCACCGTGCCCGGCCAAGAGAAAGAAAAAAGGTTTAAATAACCTTTATCATGAATGAAAAGAGGTACTAAATAAATATCAGCTGCACTTAAAAATTTTTTTCCAGCCAGGCATGCTCACGCCTGTAATCCCAGCACTCTGGGAGGCCGAGGTGGGCAGATCACTTGAGCTCAGGAGTTCGAGACCAGGCTGGACAACATGGTGAAACCCCTATCTCTATTTTTTTTAATCAAAGAAAAAATTCCTATATATTTACAACTGACAGTAAGAGAGTTTTTAATGTTTTGACCAAAATATTTAAAGGTCACAGAGCAATCATACATTTTCTCATTGATTATTAAGATTGCTTTGCGGCCGGGCGTGGTGGCTTATGCCTGTAATCTCAGCACTTTGGGAGGCCGAGGCAGGCGGTCAGGAGATGGAGACCATCCTGGCTAACACGGTGAAACCCCGTCTCTACTAAAAATACAAAAAATTAGCCGGGCGTGGGGGCGGCAACCTGTAGTCCCACTAATCAGGAGGCAGAGGCAGGAGAATCGCTTGAACCTGGGAGGTGGAGGTTAAAGTGAGCCGAGATGGCGCCACTGCATTCCAGCCTGGGTGACAGAGTGGGACTCCGTCTCAAAAAACAAAAACAAAAACAAAAAAAAAGGCCGGGCGTGGTGTAATCGTAGCACTTTGAGAGGCTGAGGTAGATGGATCACAAGGTCAGGAGTTCAAGATCAGCCTGGCCAATATAGTGAAACCCCATCTCTACTAAAAATACAAAAATTAACTGGGCGTGGTAGCGCACTCCTGTAATCCCAGCTACTTGGAAGGCTGAGGCAGAAGAATCACTTGAACCCAGGAGGCAGAGGTTGCAGTGAGCCGAGATTGTGCCACTGCACTCCAGCATGGGCAACAGAGCGAGACTCTGTATCCAAAAAAAAAAAAAAAAAAAAAAAAAGATTGCTCTGCATGGTTTCAGCTTGCACGGTCCTATCTGTGGTCCTGCATGGCCATGCAAAGTGAAGGCTGCTGGTTAAGCAGTTTCTACACCGTTGTTGTCTTCATATCTGATGCTGGAGTTTGAGGTCCCCGGGGCAGGCAGTTGGTAAAGTGGAGAATGAGCTGGAACTCACTAGCATAAACTGGAGCCCATGAGGGCAGGCTGGAGACCGCGTCAGTTCTTGTTGCTTCTAATGTTGGTGGTGTGGGCATCCAGGAGAAACCAGGGCTCTTTGCCCAGAGATATAAACACTGACACCTGGTCCAGGAGTAAGAGAAGCTGAAGGAAGATTCAGGAGAAGGTGAAGCAATTACAGGTGTAGCTGCTGCCTCTTGCCAATGAGTTGAGGCATCAGATAACCAGCACTGTCAGCTGCGGAACGGCTGCTGCTTCAATTCAGCCCTCCAGTCTCTCACAGGACTCTCTTGTGTAGTTTTCAATTGGGTTCAGGGGCGAAAAAAAAAAAAAAGAATCATTTGTGGCCCATGCTAACTGGAAATGAACAGGAAAGGGAACTCTGGGAAAGGGGATTCTGGGAAAGGGAATTCAGCCACCATAGTTACCGTATAGTTTAATGGCTGTGCATGGAGGGCTCGAAGTCAGACTTCTCAGATTTGATTTGTTTCCTTTATTTCAAGTCGTATGTCCAAGGGTAAGTTTCTTAGTCTTTCTGGGCCTCAGTTTGCTTGTCTGTAAAATGAAGATGTAATAGTAGCATTTAAGATTAGTTTGAGGTTTTTTAAAATTATTTTTATTTCCTTTTAATTTTTTGTTTTGTTTTTGTTTTTGTTGTTTTTGAGACGGAGTTTCACTCTTGTTGCCCAGGCTGGAGTGCAGGGGCTCAATCTTGGCTCACCGCAACTTCTGCCTCGCGGGTTCAAGTGATTCTCCTGCCTCAGCCTCCTGAGTAGCTGGGATTACAGGCACACGCCACCACGCCTGACTAATTTTGTATTTTTAGTAGAGATGGGGTTTGTCCATGTTGGTCAGGCTGGTCTTTAACTGCTGACCTCAGGTGATCCGCCCGCCTCGGCCTCCCAAATTGCTGGGATTATAGGCGTGAGCCACCACGACCGGCCCCTTTTAAATTTGTATTTATATAAAAACTTCTATGCTAGTTTGAGGTTTAAATGAGATAATACATATAAATTGTTAACATATTATTGGTGTATTATCAATAAGACTTGCCTTATTGGAAATGTTTAATAAACATCAGCCATGTCGGCCAGGCGCAGTGACTCACACCTGTAATGCCAGTACTTTGGGAGGCTGAGGCAGGAGGATTGCTTGAGTCCAGGAGTTTGGGACCAGCCTGGGCAACATAGGGAGACCCTGCTTCTACAAAAAAAAAATTTAAATTAGCAGGACGTGGTGGTGCACACCTGTAGTCCCAGCTACTCAGGAGGCTGAGGCAAGAGGATCACTTGAGTCCAGGAGGTTGAGGCTGCAGTGATCCAAGATTGTGCCGCTATGCTCCAGTCTGGGCAACTGAATGAGACCCTGTCTCAAAACAAAACAACAAACAAAAACAATCAAATAGACAAAAATATATCAGCCATGATTATTAGTAATTGTGTGATCTTTCTGGTCCTCAGTTTTTTTCAGCTGTAAGGTGGGGATAACTTCCTTGGCCTACTTCACAGGCATATATTGAGAATCAAATGAAATAAATAATTCAAATAAAATAGGAATAATTATATGAATAACATATCACCACTTCATGGTAGAGGTGGTGGTAAAAATGATGATAAACATAGTTCTTAGTTCCTTCCAGCCTCCATATTGGTATCTACTCCAGTGACTAAAGCCAGCTATTCCATGATTATTAATCAGAAAAGCAGTTATCCAAATGTAAGATGTTAATAGGGAAACTGAGTGCAGAGGATATGGAACTTTTTGTACTTACCATCTTTGCCATTTTTCTGTAAATATAAAACTGTTTACTAAAAAAATAAGTTTACTGAAAAAACTTGATAAAAAAAAAAGAATGTCATTGTCAAACTTTAGCAGAATTCTCTGGAAGGCTTATTAAATATTAAATACACATTGCTGGGTCCTAGCCCCAGAGTTGCTGATTCAGTGGGTCTGGGCTGGAGCCAGAGAACTTGCATTTCTTTTTTTGAGATGGAGTCTTGGTCTGTTGCCCAGGCTGGAATGCAGTGGTGCGATCTCGGCTCACTGCAACCTCCGCCCCCTGGGTTCAAGCGATTCTTCTGCCTCAGCCTCCTGAGTACCTGGGATTACAGGCATGTGCCACCACACCCGGCTAATTTTATATTTTTAGTAGAGATGGGGTTTCTCCATGTTGGCCAGGCTTGTCTCAATCTCCTGACCTCGTGATCCACCTGCGTCGGCCTCCCAAAGTGCTGGGATTACAGGCATGAGCCACTGTGCCCTGCCGAGAAGTTGCATTTCTAACAAGCAGTGCTGAGGCTGCTGATCTGAGGATGACACTTTGAGAACTCCTGACTTAAAATGTAAAGTAGTACGTGGGTTTCCTGTCTTTCCTATGAACAAAGGCTCCTATTCATCACGGTCTGCCATTTCTTGGTTCGTGCTGTCCATGACATCACCCAACATTTACCTACGAAGCAAGAGGAAGGAGACAACTGATGACTGACTGAGCAGGATGATACTAAACGGGGCCTGCATAATCCCTTTTACCCTGCTTTTCTCCAGCTTCTTCGAAGCTTTAGGCCATGGATCCAAACCATGCTTAAAATAACACACAAGTACATATTTAAATATGTATATGTTAAATATATAATACATATATATTTTATGCATACATTTCATTACAGGTTGAGCATCCCAAATCCCAAAATCTGAAACCCGAAATGTTTCAAAATCCAAAACTTTTGAGCACCAACATGACACTCAAGGAAAATGCTCACTGCAGCATTTCAGATTTTGAATTTTTGGATTTGGGATGTTCAACACATAAATATAATGCAAATATTCCAAAATCTGGAAAAAAATCTGAAATCTGAAACACTTCTGGTTGCAAACATTGCAGATAAGGGATACTCAGCCTGCAAAAAGAAATACATGGGCTGGGCATGGTGGCTCATGCCTGTAATCCCAGCACTTTGGGAGGCTGAGGCAGGAGGATCATTTAAGGCCAGGAGTTCAAGATCAGCCTGCACAACATGGCAAGACCCTGTCTCTACAAAAAAATTAAAAAACAAGCCGAGTATGGTGGTGTGTGCCTATAGTCCCAGCTACTCAGGAGGCTGAGGTGGGAGGATCGCTTGAGCCCACGTTGTCAAGGCTGCAGTGAGCCATGATCGTGCCATTGCACTACAGCCTGGGCGACAGATCTCAGGCTGTCTCAAAAATAAATACGTGTGTACATACGTGCATACATGCACACATGCATGCACGCATACACGCATGCATGCATACATACATGCATGCACACGTACATGCATGCACACATGCATACACACGTACATGCATACACACATACATGCATACACACCTACATGTTCATAGAGGAAAAAAATTACCCACAGCTTCCCAAAGACAACCACTTAACATTTTGGTCTAGTCCCAAATTTTATTTCAACTATGTTTTGAGGGTTTTCTTTTAAACATTGCTTTTGCTTCTTTTGTTTTGCTTTGTGGTTTCTTTTTTCTTTTTTTTGAGACAGAGCTGGCTCTGTTGCCAAGCTGGAGTGCAGTGGCATGATCTAGGCTCACTACAACCTTCGCTTTCAGGGTTCAAAACATTTCCCTGGCTCTGCCTCCTGAGTAGCTGGGACTACAGGCACGTGCCACTACACCTGGCTAATTTTTGTATTTATAGTAGAGAAGGAGTTTCACGATGTGGGCCAGGATGGTCTCTATCTCTTTACCTCGTGATCTGCCCACCTCGGCCTCCCAAAGTGTTGGGGTTACAGCGTGAGCCACCGCACCTGGTCTGTTGTTGTTTTTTTTTTTTCGAGACGGAGTCTTGCTCTGTCCCCCAGGCTGGAGTGCAGTGGCGCAGTCTCTGCTCACTGCAAGCTCTGCCTCCCGGGTTCATGCCATTCTCCTGCCTCAGCCTCCTGAGTAGCTGGGACTACAGGTGCCCGCCACCACGCCTGGCTAATTTTTTGTATTTTTAGTAGAGACGGGGTTTCACCGTGTTAACCAGGATGGTCTCAATCTCCTGACCTCGTGATCCGCCCGCCTCGGCCTCCCAAAGTGCTGGGATTACAGGCGTGATACTGGGATTACACCACGCCCGGCCCTGTTTTGTTTTAATAGAAACAAGGTCTCGTTCTGTCACTGAGGCTGAAGTATAGTGGTGTCATCATAGCTCACTGCAGCCTTGAACTCCTGGGCTCAAGTGGTTCTCCCATCTTAACCTCCTGAGTAGCTGGGACTACAGGTGTGTGCCACCATGCCCAGCTGTTTTTTTTTTCTTTTTTTGTAGAGACGGGGTCTTGCTCTGTTACCTAGGTTGGTCTCAAACTTCTTGGCTCAAGTGATCCTCCCACCTTGGTCTCCTAAAGTGTTGGGATTACAGGCACGAGCCACCATGCCCAGCCTCTTCTAAACATTGTCATAATTTAGGCCGTGTGCAGTCTCATGCCTGTAATCCCAGCACTTTGGGAGGCCCAAGCAGGCAGATCACTTGAGGTCAGGAGTTCAAGAACAGCCTGGCCAACATGCGGAAACCCAGTCTCTACTAAAAATACAAACATTAGCCGGGCATGGTGGTGGGCGCCTATAATCCTAGCTACTCAGGAGGCAGAGGCAGGAGAATCGCTTGAACCTGGGAGGCAGAGGTTACAGTGAGCCGAGATCGTGCCACTGCACTCTAGTCTGGAAGACAGAGAAAGACTCCATCTCAAAAAAAAAAAGACAAACATTGTTGTAATTTATAAGGGCACACACGTCCTGCTTTTTCACATAACACTGTATCATAAAGATTTCTATGTTAGTGTGTAGTATTTGTAAATATTAAATACTTGCATAGGCCGGGCACAATGGCTCATGCCTGTAATCCCAGCACTTTGGGAGGTTGAGACAGGCAGATCACTTGAGCCCAGGAGGTTGAGACCAACCTGGGCAGCATAGCAAAACCCTGTCTCTACAAAACATACAAAAATTAGCTAGGCGTGGTGGCACATGCCTGTAGTCCCAGCTACTCAGGAGGCTGAGGCAGGAGAATCGCTTCAGCCTGGGAAGCCTCAGGGCTGCAGTCATCTGAGATGGTGCCGCTGCAGTCCAGCCTGAGCGACAGAGTGAGACCTCGTCTCAAAGAAAACAACAACAACAAAAAACCTTGCTTAATACTGCAGGGTTATTGTTGGATCCCCGCTTTTCCATTTGTTCACTGTCATCAAAGGAGACTCAAATTTCACAGTTGCATGGACTTTATTTTTCTATAACTGAACTAAATGTCTTTCTTAAGCCCCAGGTCTCTGGAAGCAAAGAACATAATCAAGTCACTTCCAAGTAAACTCAGTGTTTGTGTGTGTGTGTGTGTGTGTGTGTGTGTGTGTGTGTGTATATATATATATTTTTTTTTTTTTTTTTTTTTTTGAGATGGAGTCTCGCTCTGTCACCCAGGCTGGAGTGCAGTGGTGCGATGTCGGCTCACTGCAAGCTCCGCCTCCTGGGTTCATGCCATTCTCGTGCCTCAGCCTCCCGAGTAGCTGGGACTACAGGCACCTCAGCCTCCCAAAGTGCTGGGATTACAGGTGTGAGCCACCGTGCTCGGCCCAGGTAAACTGTCTTAATCAGATTCTGCTGTTCTCAAGTCCTCACCACTCTGTTGCTGAGGGAGTTATGTAAATGTCACCAAAGAGCCAATGGGGAGGCTTCTTGATCTTTGTCAGCCTCGTTCCATGGTGGTCTCCTGTTCCAGGTATACCAGGTGAGCCATCCCTGTCTGTCTCAGGCTGGGGTAGAAGAAGGTAGGAAGGCAGCATTGAGGGAATGTGTGAGTGGGAGGCAGGAAGGATCTGCCTTGAGTGTGGATAACCTGCTGTGTAGCCACATCCTCATCCATCCATGTGGCATTCTCTTATCACAGCCATGAGATCGCCCCTCTCTAAAGAAGTAGAATGTAGAAGCTGGAAGAACCTGTTTCTTTTTGTTTTTGTTTTGAGACAGAGTCTTGCTCTGTCGCCCAGGCTGGAGTGCCATGACATGATCTTGGCTCACTGCAACCTCTGCCTCCTGGGTTCAAGTGATCCTCCTGCCTCAGCCTCCCCAGTAGCTGGGATTACAGGCACCTGCCACCATGCCCAACTAATTTTTGTATTTTTTAGTAGAGACGGGGTTTCACCATGTTGGCCAGGCTGGTCTCGAACTCCTGATCTCGTGATCCACCTGCCTCGGTCTCCCAAAGTGCTGGAATTACAGGCGTGAGCCACTGTGCCCGGCCAAGAATCTGTTTCTAATCTCAAGCCTAGACATGCCAAGCTACCATTTCTATTCCACAGTGTCCATGCCATCATGGTAGGAGATCTGCCTCTGGGGCTTACTGCCCTCCTGGGGCTTCCCCAGGAATCAAGATCTTTTCAATCCACTTAAAAGAGGTTTATTGAACTTCAGATGGGGCTGGGTGCGCAGTTCCTGTTCTTTCGCTTCCTCTTCCAATGCCCCACCTGTCTTCCCTCTCTAATGAAACCTTATCTGGAGCGGAGGTGCGGAGAATTGTTTCTCCTCTTCCTGAGTCTTTTGGTCTCACTCTTGAATGCACAGCTTGTGAGTTTAAAAACCAAGATGTTGTTGACTTTTTTTATCTGGTTCTATCCTAGGAGGGATGGTGGCCTTGGATTAAAAGGGATTTTGAGAAAGGGAAAGAAGAAACTCGTTATCATCTTAAATTATTATCCTGCCTCATAAATAATGCAGCAAAATTATCTGGGCACATGTCACCAGTGACCTTTGGCAGACAGGGTGGAGCAGAGAGCTGTGTATGAGCCAAGACCTGATGTCATTGAGGAAGGTAAAGTGAGGCTGGGGAGGCTGATGGTAAAGACAGCAGCATAGGCAGGTGGTTCCCCCTGTGAAAAAGGAGAAGGGTGCAGACTGTGGGTGTCTGAACAACGGTGGTTTGTGCCGTCCGCAGAGCTGCAAGTCATCACCCGCCCCTCCTCCCTCAGTAAGAAAGTTGGAGCACAGACTCAGACAATTAAGGGCGCCCTTTCCAATCCACCCGGACACAGTGATGATTGTCCAAAGCAATTGGCTTGCTCAGACAGCCAGAAAAAAATCTAGTCTATCGGCATAAACTGTTTGTTTTTTTTGTTTTGTTTTGTTTTTTGAGATGGAGTTTCACCCTTGTTGCCCAGGCTGGAGTGCAGTGGCGCCATCTTGGCTCACTACAACCTCTGCCTCCTGGGTTCAAGTGATTCTCCTGCCTCAGCCTCCCCAAGTAGGTGGGATTACAGTCGTGAGCCACCACGCCCGGCTAATTTTGTACTTTTTTTTAGTAGAGACGGGGTCTCACCATGTTGGTCAGGCTGGTCTCGAACTACTGACCTCAAGCAATCCACCTGCCTTAGCCTCCCAAAGTGCTGGGATTACAGGTTTGAGCCACCACGCCTGTATGAACTCTTTATGTGTATATAATCATATACAAAGTGATTACAATTTGCAGTGAGCCTCAGCATAAACTCTTTTTGTGCATGTAATCCGGATATTTTCTTTAAAATTTTTCCCATGAGTAGAATTGCTGAGCCAAAGGATAAAACTTATGCAATTATGATGTTAAAAAAGAAAGGTCGGTGGTTCACGCCTATAATCCCAGCACTTTGGGAGGCTGAGGCAGGCGGATCACGAGGTCAGGAGATAGAGACCATCCTGGCTAACATGGTGAAACCCCGTCTCTACTAAAAATACAAAAAAAAAAAAAAATTAGCCGGGCGTGGTGGCGGGCGCCTGTAGTCCCAGCTCTTCCGGAGGCTGAGGAGGAGCTCTGTCCCCTAGGGGCTGAAGTGCAGTGGTGCCATCATAGCTTACTGCAACCTGGAACTCCTGAGCACAGGTGATCCTCCCACCTGAGCCTCCTGAGTAACTGGGGCTATAGGCAGAGGCCGCCAAGCTGAGCTAATTTTTAAACTTTTTGTAAATACAGGATCTCAAGATGTGGGCCAGGCTTGTCTCAAACTGCTGACCTCAAGTGATTCTCCCACTTCAGCCTCCCAAAATGCTGGGATTACAGGCAGGAGCCACAGCGCCCAGCCAGCCATGGTCTTAATACAAAAAGTACCAAAGCTGTTAACTTAAAGGGGGATGAGGCATGAGTCATGGTGGTGGAAAATAAATTGGTACAATCTTTCTGTAGGAAAAGTGGTCAGTATGTCAATATGCATAAAAAAAATTTAACCTAGCACCTCTACTTTTAGGAATTCATCTGAAGGCAATAATTGGACAGATGTGCAAAGATATATATATATGCCAGGAAGTTTAAAGAAGCATGTTTATAATAGTTGAAAATAGACATGATTTAAATATCTAGCAACAGAAGATTGTTAAAAATAGTACTTCCGGCCAGGCACAGTGGCTCACACCTGTAATCCCAGCACTTTGGGAGGCCAAGGCAGGCAGATCACCTGAGGTTGAGAGTTTGAGACCAGCCTGACCAACATGGAGAAACCTCGTGTCTACTAAAATTACAAAATAAGCCAGGCATGGTGGTGCATACCTGTAATCCCAGCTACTCAGGAGGCTGAAGAAAGAGATTCGCTTGAACCCGGGAGGCAGAGGTTGCTGTGAGCCGAGATCGTGCCATTGCACTCCAGCCCGGGCAATAAGAGCAAAACTCCTACTATATATACATATATGTGTATACACACACACACACATATACATATATATGTATAGTACATTCACATAATCAAATATCTTACAGTCATTAAAAATTATGACAAGGCCGGGCGTGGTGGCTCACAGCTGTAATCCCAGCACTTTGGGAGGCTGAGGCGGGCAGATCATGAGGTCAGGAGTTCGAGACCAGCCTGGCCAATATGGTGAAACCCCGTCTCTACTAAAAATACAAAAATTAGCTGGGAGTGGTGGTATGTGCCTGTTGTCCTAGCTACTCAGGAGGCTGAGGCAGGAAAATCACTTGAACCCAGCAGACGGAGGTTGCGGTGAGCTGAGATCTTGCCACTGCACTCCAGTCTGGGCGACAGAGCAAGACTCTGTCTAAAAACAAAACAAAACAAAACAAAACAAAAAACCACTTTGAAGAAATAAAAAGATAAAAAGCAAAACAAATAACAAATTGTATGTACTTATTGTGTACAACATGATGTGACATTCTGTACATTTTAATCTTTTTTTGTTTATTTATTTATTTTGAGACGAAGCTCTATCGCCCAGACTGAGTGCAGTGGCACGATCTCATCTCACTGCAACCTCCACCTTCTGGGTTCAAGAGATTCTCCTGCCTCAGCCTCCAGAGTAGCTGGGATTACAGGTGCATGTCACCGTGTCTGGCTAATTTTTTTGTATTTTTAGAAGAGATGGGGGTTTCATCATGTTGGCCAGGCTGGTCTTGAATTCTCCACCTCAGGTGATCCGCCCACCTCGGCCTCCCAAAGTGCTGGGATGACAGGCGTGAGCCACCGCGCCCAACCACATTTTAATCTATTTTTCACTTAAGGATCTTCCTGGGCCAAACTAGATTTCTTGGAAGCCATGCTTTGTTTCATTTCGTAAGTTCAAGCCTTTTTCTTCCTTTTGGGTAACTCCAGAATTCCTCACTCTCCTCCCCCACTCATTGCCTCTGCTTCTTCCCACATGCCCCTCTTCTCTTCCCATCAGGCTTCCCTAGTCAACATTCTTTTCAGAAGTGAGGCTTGCCCTCGTGACACCTCTCTTAAGTGGCTCAGCCTGGAAAATCCTCTAGGAGAGTTGCCCTTGACGACAGACAGACTCAGAGGTCACAGGCCCTGTGGGCTGTGGGGCCTGGTGTGGATGAGGGTGTCAGCCAAAGTGGCACTTCTGGGGCAACTAACAATAGATTACACAAAGTCCACTGCCAAGTAGTCGCTTGGGCTGGGCCGGTAAAAGGCCCTGATCAGCCGCTGGGAAAGGCTGGTCTTCAACCCTTGGACTCTAACCGCGGCAGGACTCAGCAGAATTCAAGGTCCTGATCATGAGAATGGCTTTGGGTCTCACATGTGCCAGTTCCTGCCCTGAAGCCTTAAGTTTGAGAGCAAGAAGGAAACAAATGGACAGGAAGACTCCCATGAATACAGGAAGCGCCCAAAGATCTCAGGAGCAAGCCCCTTCTTTAACTGAGAGCATTCACTTTCCCTTCTGATTTACTCCCCCAGAAAAACATTAGAGCTGACACCTTCTTGGTGACTTTGGATCATGAGCTCAAACACGATCTCAGAGCTTTGCCATTAGAGATCATCTGTCCTGGCCGGCGCGGTGGCTTACGCCTATAATCCCAGGACTTTGAGAGGCCAAGGCGGGTGGATTACTTGAGGCGAGGAGTTTGAGACCAGCCTGGCCAACTTGGTGAAACCCCATCTCGAACTAAAAATACAAAAATTAGGCCGGGCGCAGTGGCTCACATCTGTAATCCCAGCACTTTGGGAGTCTGAGGCAGGCAGATCACAAGGTCAGGAGTTTGAGACCAGCCTGGCCAACACGGTGAAACCTCGTCTCTACTAAAAATACAAAAATTAACTGGGCGTGGTCGTGGGCGCCTGTAATCCCAGCTACTTGGGAGGCTGAGGCAGGAGAATCATTTGAACCTGGAGGTGTAGGTTGCACTTAGCCGAAATCATGCCATTGCACTCCAGCCTGGGCAACAGGGCGAGACTCCGTCTCAAAAATAAAATAAAATAGGCTGGGCATGGTGGCTCACTTCTGTAATCCCAGCACTTTGGGAGGCTGAGGCAGGCGGATCACGAGATCAGGAGATCAAGACCATCCTGGCTAACACGGTGAAACCTGTCTCTACTAAAAATACAAAAACAAAATTAGCTGGGCGTGGTGGCGGGCGCCTGTAGTCCCAGCTACTCGGGAGGCTGAGGCGGGAGAAGGGCATGAACCCGGGAGGTGGAGCTTGCAATGAGCCGAGATAGCGCCACTGCACTCCAGCCTGGGCGACAGAGCGAGACTCCGTCTCAGAAAAAAAAAAAAAAAAAAAAATTAGCCACATGCAGCGGTGTACACGTGTGGTCGCAGGTATTCAGGAGGCTGAGGCAGGAGGATGACTTGAGCCCAGGAGTTCAAGGGTACGGTGAGCTATGGTCACACCACTGCACTCCACCCTGGGTGACAGAATGAGACACTGTCTCCAAAAAATAAAAATAAAATCAGGACTGTCTTCTTTGTAGACAGTTTGAAATTCTGAAAGAGACCGGGCGCAGTAGCTCACGCCTGTAATCCCAGCACTTTCGAAGGCCAAGGCGGGCGGATCACCTGAGGTCTGGAGTTCAAGACAGCCTGGCTAACATGGTGAAACCCCGTTTCTACTAAAAATACAAAAAATTAGCCAGGCATGGTGGCGCACACCTATAATCCCAGCTACTGGAGAGGCTGAGGCAGGAGAATCGCTTGAACCCGGGAGGCGGAGGTTGCAGAGAGCCGAGATTGCACCACTGCACTCCAGCTTGGGCAATAAGAGTGAAACTCCGTCTCAAAAAAAAAAGAAATTCTGAAAGATAGCTGTTGAATAATTGGCTCATCTGGATTACTGAGACTGGACAATTGCCAAATCTTAGAGCAGAAAATGACAGTGAATCATAGTATTCTGCCCCTGGCTTCTAGGTTGGTAAATATCCCAGCAGTCCGAGATAAACGGCTATCCCTGCCCTTCTTGGCTGTCTCCAGGGATATGCTATCATGTCCCTTCACATATTCTTTGAGGAATTACACACCAAGCGAGAATAGGAGATGGCGTATACTAGTTTTAAGGGAGGAGACCACCCCTCATATTGTCTTATGCCCAATTTCTGCCTCCAAAGAAAGAAAAAGTAAAAACTAAAAGGCAGAAATGAAATCCACAGGCAGACAGCCCGGCGCCACACCCTGGGCCTGGTTGAAAAGCGACCCCTGACCTAATCGGTTATGTTATCTATAGATTACAGGCGTTATATAGAAAAGCACCGTGAAAATCCCTGTCCTGTTCTGTTCCGTTCTGATTACCGGTGCATGCAGACCCCAGTCACGTACCCCCTGCTTGCTCAATCTATCACGACCGTCTCACGCAGACCCCCTTAGAGTTTTGAGCCCTTAAAAGGGACAGGAATTGCTCACTCGGGGAGCTCAGTTGTTGGAGACGTGAGTCTTTTTTTTTTTTTTTTTTAATTGAACATTGTTGGGTGTTTCTCGCAGAAGGGGATTTGGCAGGGTCACAGGACAATAGTGGAGGGACGGTCAGCAGATAAACAAGTGAACCAGAGACGTGAGTCTTTAGAAGCTCCCGGCCGAATAAAGCCCTTCCTTCTTTAACTTGGTGTCTGAGGGGTTTTGTCTGCAGCTTGTCCTGCTACAGTTTATTTATTTATTTTTGAGACAGAGTCTTGCTCCGTTGCTCAGGCTGGAGTGCAGTGGCGCAGTCTCAGCTCACTGCAACCTCCACGTCCCAGGTTCAAGCGATTCTTGTGTCTCACCCTCTTGAGTAGCTGAGATTACAGGCATGTGCCACCACGCCCAGCTAATTTTTTTTTTTTTTTTTTTGAGACGGAGTTTCACTCTGTTGCCCAGGCTGGAGTGCAGTGGTGTGATCTCTGCACCCTGGAACCTCCTTCTCCTGGGTTCAAGTGATTCTCCTGCCTCAGCCTCCTGAGTAGCTGGGATTATAGGCACCTGCCACCATGCCCAGCTAATTTTTGTATTTTAGTAAAGACGGGGTTTCACCATGTTGGTCAGGCTGGTCTTGAACTCCTGACCTCAGGTGATCCACCTGCCTTGGCCTCCCAAAGTGCTGGGATTACAGGCAGGAGATGGAGTATACTAGTTACCCAGGGTAGGTACCTGTGCACTCCCCTGGAACTGGGGCATGGTGTCAGCTGCACCCAACCATATGCATTGCAAGTAGGAGAGAGGTGGCTCCTCAAAGGAAAACCTTTTATTATTAGAAGAAAGGACTATAGAAAGTAGGAAGGACAAAAATAGCTCTGCGCATAACAGAGACCGTGAGATTTCCTAGAGGTGACCAGCCTCTGCTGGATGGCGTAGGGTGAGCCTCGGCAGCTCTTCCAGCGGGCCTTTCTGTGCTGTGGAGGCTGGAAGGAGAAAGCTGCCCTTCCCAGATTGCATGCAGCTTGGATTCTGGGCGCAGCCTGGGTTCTAGGTTGATACTTATTAATAAATGCATTCCTTCGAGATCTGAAAAGTGGAAGTGGGCTGGGTGAGGTGGCTCACGCCGGTAATCCCAGCACTTTGGAAGGCCGAGGCTGGTGGATCACCTGAGGTCAGGAGTTCAAGACCAGCCAGGCCAACATGGTGAAACTCCACCTCTACTAAAAATACAAAAATTAGCTGGGTGTGGTGGTGGGCACCTGTAATCCCAGCTACTCGGGAGGCTGAGGCAGGAGAATCACTTAAACCCAGAAGGCGGAGGTTGCGGTGAGCCGAGATCGCACCACTGCACTCCAGCCTGGACAACAGGAGTGAAACTCTGTCTCAGGAAAAAAAAGAGAAAAGAAGAGAAGAAGAAGGGAGGGGAGGAAAGAGACTAGAAGAGACGAGATGAAGGGAAGGGAGGGGAAGGGAGGGGAAGGGAAGGAGGTCGTGCTGTGTTCTTTTTGCTCTCAGCTGTTTGCTTTTGGCAAGAAGGCCATGAGATGCCCATGTCAAGTCTCCAGGTTTGAGGATATTGAGAGAAACTGTGGAGGTAGCAGTGGCAGAATTCCACATTCTAGTGTATAGGTGGGGGCGGTGGGTGGCAGCAACCTCTTGGGCCCAGCTTCCTGGTACCTGGATTGTCGCTAGAACAGAATGTCCTACAACTCAGCGTTCCTGTGGGTGACAGATAATGACTCCATTGGGAGTGTTCTGGGAGTCATTCCTGAAAGCAAACCTTGAGTCTGCTCCTCTCGCCCTTCCAGGGACTTGGTAATCTTTCAGTTGCATAGATTATGTGTGCCTAGAACAGGCACAGTGGCTAATGCCTGTAATCCCAACACTTTGGGGGGCCGAGGTGGGAGCATCGCTTTAGCCTAGGAGTTGGAGACCAGCCTGGGCAGCACAGTGAGACCCCATTTCCACACACAACATTTTTTTTTTAATTAGCTGAGAGTGGTGGCACACACCTGTAGTCTCAGCTGCTTAGGAGGCTGAGGTGGGAAGATCGCTTGAGCCCAGGAGGCCAAGGCTCCAGTGAGCTGTGATGGCACCACTGCATTCCAGCCTGGGTGACAGAGCAAGACCCTGTCTCTACAAAGGAAAAAAAAATTCCTAAGATTTTTCAAGGAGCTAGCTCATTGTTGAATGCTTGGAGGTTCTCAGTCTTTACTCTGTCACTCCTATTCTACTTTCCCACCATGCTGTTTCTCACTGTGCCACCTCATTCCTTCATTCCTCCCAAACACTCTACCATTTCTCTCAAACCACGTGTGCAGCAGACTTTATTGAAGTGTGTTTTTTTTTTTTTTTTTTTGAGGCGGAGTCTCGCTCTGTCACCAGGCTGGGGTGCAATGGCACGATCTTGGCTCACAGCAACCTCCACCTCCCCGGTTGAAGCGATTCTCCTGCCTCAGCCTCCTGAGTAGCTGGGACTACAGGAGCATGTCACCACACCCAGCAAATTTTTGTATTTTTAGTACAGATGGGGTTTCACCATGTTGGCCAGGCTGGTCTCGATCTCCTGACCTCAAGTGATCTGCCCGCCTTGGCCTCCCAATATGCTGGGATTACAGTCATGAGCCACCGCCCCTGGCCTTTACTGAAGATTTGAGGTAGAGAACCACAACACACTACAGTGTGCAATACGGCTCAAAATTGAACATTGGACATCACTGTCCAAAATAACCACCTGCCATTCTCTTGCCTGAAGATATGTCTCATTTAGTTAGTTATTTGCAACAGAGTCTTGCTCTGCCACCCAGATTCGAGTGCCCAGGTGTTGCTCACTCACTGCAGCCTCGTCCTCCTGGGTAAAAATGGGGTTTCACCATGTTGCCTAGGCTGGTCTCGAACTCTTGGGCTCAATCGAACCTCCCACTTCGCCTCCCAAAGTGCTGGGATTGTAGGCGTGAGCCACGGTGCCAGGCCTATTTATTTTTTCACATGCCTGCTGTGTCAAATGAAGATATTTCCACCTCAAGGGCGGATCACTTAAGGTCAGGAGTTCGAGACCAGCCTGGCCAACATGGTGAAACCCCGTCTCTACTAAAAATAAAAAAAATCAGCTGGGCGTGGTGGCACATGCCTGTAATCCCAGCCAATCTGGAGGCTGAGGCAGGAGAATCGCTTGAACCCGGGAGGTGGAGGCTACAGTTAGCCAAGATTGTGCTATTGCACTCCATCCTGGTTGACAGAGTGAGACTCTATCTTTAAAGAATAGGCTGGGTGCGGTGGCTCATGCTTGTAATCCCAGCACTTTGGGAGGCTGAGGAGGGTGGATCACCTGAGGTCTGGAGTTCAAGACTGGCCTGGCCAATATGGTGAAACTCCATCTCTACTAAAAATACAAAAAATTTTACAAAATCAGCCGGGTGTGGTGGCGGATGCCTGTAATCCCAGCTACTCAGGAGGCTGAGGCAGGAGAATCAGCTGAACCCGGGAGGCAGAGGTTGCGGTGAGCCGAGATCATGCTATTGCACTGCAGCCTCGGCAACAGGAGTGAAACTCCATCTCAAAAAAAAATAATAATTAATTAATTAATAATAAATAAATAGCTTCATGAGGCTAGTGACTACCATAGTGGACTATGCGACTCTAGACACTTCATCCCTTGCATGCTGTGGGTCTTCAACGTCTTAATTCCTACCACTGCCTCCTGGCAAAGCATTTGATTCCTCTGTTTTTTCAAAAACGTTTTCTCTGCTTGTGCTCTGTTAACCGTGTCCTGGGGCAGGCGGCACTTTTGCTATTCATCTACGGATGAGGCCCGACAAGCTATTTGCCTCCACAGCGGAATCTTCCTGCTGCTCTTCCGGGGCAGGAATGCAGCACCCCTGAGCTTTGTTTTCAAAATAGCATTTCCCCCCCTGCTTCCCCCACGCTCTACCCTCTTTGATGTATACCAATGTGTAGAAAAAGACCAAGAAGATATCTACCAAAATGTCAATGGTTATGTTTGGGTAGAAAAATTATATATCACCTTTATTTTTCTTTCTTGTGCCTTTTTAGTTTTTCTACAATGAACAGGTAGGGCTTTTGAAAGGTATAAAAATAGTTATAAAACAATTCTCTTTGGCGTTCCCAGGAGGACAGCAAAGGAAAGTTTCAGCAAGGGAACCTTGCGGCGGCTGGGAGAGCAGCCTGTCCAGGTGGGGTGAGGGGCTGCAGAGGGGCCCACAAAGAAAACACAGAACCGAGGAACTAGCCGGCAAGTTTGACTATGCGGAAAATTGGATTAGGACGGGTTTACAGAGTTGCTGGAGAGTGTGGGAAGACTCACAGATTCCAACAAAGCTGAGCACGTGAAAAAAAGAAGACGTTCACTCCAGGGAAAACAAAAGGGAAATACATGTAGTTGTCACTGATACCTACATAGCCATCATAAGGAAGACACTAAATAAGGCTTTAGCCAAAATTGTGTTAAAAGACCTTGAGAAGGGCAGGGCTCGGTGGCTCATGCTTGTAATCCCAGCACTTTGGGAGGCTGAGGGGGGCGGATCACCTGAGGTCGGATGTTCAAGACCAGCCTGGCCAGCATGGAGAAACCCTGTGTCTACCAAAAATACAAAATTAGCCGGACGTGGTGGCGCATGCCTGTAATCCCAGCTACTCAGGAGGCTGAGGCAGGAGAATCGCTTGAAACCGGGAGGCCTTGGAGGTTGTGGTGAGCTGAGATTATGCCATTGCACTCCAGCCTGTGCAACAAGAGCGAAACTCCATCTCAAAAAAAAAAAAAAAAAAGATGTTGAGAAGGCAAGGAAAGAGGTGAGGTAAGACAGTTAAATCCTCCAAGTTCATAAATCCTCAAGTTCCTCCAAGGAAGCCCATTGGTAATATCTGCAACTGAAATTTTAAGAAGTGCTGATATAAACCTGTTATTGGAGATATGGGGATAAATACCAGAAAAAAATAGCTAAAAAGGAGTTCAAAGTGGTTGGATCTGAGAAGCAGGACTTGGGTAGGGAGTTGGGGAGCAGAAGGCGGCTGTCTTTCCTCTAAGCCTTTTTCTTCTATTGGACTCTTTAAAAACTCAGTTCCTATATGATTTTATTAAAGATAAAAAATTTTGGCCAGGTGCAGTGGCTCATGCCTGTAATCTCAGCACTTTGGGAGGTTGAGGCAGGCGGATCATTTGAGATCAGGAGTTCAAGACCAGCCTGGTCGACATGGCGAAACCCTGTCTCTACTAAAAATACAAAAATTAGCTGGGCATGGTGGCAGGTGCCTGTAATCCCAGCTACTTGGGAGTCTGAGGTGTGAGAATCACTGGAACCCAGGAGGCAGAGGTTGCAGTGAGCTGAGATCGAGCCGCTGCACTCCAGCCTGGGAGACAGGGCAAGACTCTATCTCAAAAAAAAAAAAAAAAAAAAAAAAAAGACCAGGCGCGGTGGCTCACGCCTGTAATCCCAGCACTATGGGAGGCCAAGGCAGGCGGATCACGAGTTCAGGAGATTGAGACCATCCTGGCTAACACGGTGAAACCCTGTCTCTGCTAAAAATACTAGCTGGGCATGGTGGCGGGCGCCTGTAGTCCCAGCTACTCGGGAGGCTGAGGCAGGAGAATGGTGTAAACCCGGGAGGTGGAGCTTGCAGTGAGCCGAGATCGCGCCACTGCACTCCAGCCAGGGCGACACAGCGAGACTCTGTCTCAAAAAAGAAAAAAAAAAATTAAATGTCATTTAAACAAATGCCCTCCAATAACCAGAAAAAAGATGTGGCAATGCTTTGGCTTTCTCTTTCTAGTGATGTCAAAAGGATCCCTGCTACATGGGCTGATCTTGGTTGGACCACGTTGTTGTCAAGCACAGTAACAGAACGGGACACCCTGCCCATGCAGGCTGAATGACTATGACTCCTAGGGCAGGAAAGGACTCCTGCCACTGCCCTACCCTCAGCCCCGCAGCTCGACAGTCCCGTCTTCCTCCGACAGACAGGGCTGCAGATGCTTTTTTTTTTGAGACGGAGTTTTGTTCTGTCGCCCAGGCTGGAGTGGAGTGCAGTGGCATCATCTCGGCTCACTGCAACCTCCGCCTCCCAGGTTCAAGCATTCTCCTGCCTCAGCCTCCCGAGTAGCTGGGATTACAGGTGCACACCACCATGCCCGGCTAATTTTTGTATTTTTAGTGGAGATGGGGTTTCACCGTGTTGGCCAGCCTGGTCTCAAACTCCTGACCTCAAGTGATCCTCCTGCCTCGGCCTCCCAAAGTGCTGGGATGACAGGCATGAGCCACTGCACCCAGCCTCCATTTAACCATTTTTAAGTGTATGGTTCAGCGGCAGTAAGTACATTCCTAGTTGTACAACCATCACACCCATCTGTCTCCATAACTTTTTCATCATCCTCCCCTGAAACTGCACCCATTAAACACTAACTCCCCATTCTCCCCTCCCCCCAGCCCACAAACCACCCTCTTAATTTCTGTCCCCATGATTTTGACTACCCTAGAAACCTCATATAAGTGGAATCATAAAACATTTTTCTTTTTGTGACTAGCTTATTTCACTTCACATGATGTTTTCAATGTTGTAGCGTGGGCCAGAATTTTCTCACATTTTCAGGCTTACTAATGTATCTCCTTGTATGAATCTACCACATTTTGTGTGTCCATTCACCTGTCGATGGACACTTGGGTAGCTTCTACTTGGCTGTTGTGAATAATGCAGCTGTGAATGTAGGTGAACAAATATACGTTGCGGTCCCTGCTTTAATTATTTTGGGTCTACACCCAGAAGTGGAATTACTGAGGCTGGGCGTGGTGGCTCACACCTGTAATCCAAGCACTTTGGGAGGCTGACGTGGGAGGTTCACCTCAGATCAGGAGTTCAAGACCAGCCTGGCCAACATGGTAAAACCCCGTCTCTACTAAAAACACAAAAATTAGCCAGGCGTGGTGGCACGTTCCTGTAATCCCAGCTACTCGGGAGGCTGAGGCAGGAGAATCACTGGAATCCAGGAGGCAGAGGCTGCAGTGAGCTGAGGTGGCGCCACTGCACTCCAGCCTGGGCAGCAGAGTGAGACTCCACCAAAAAAAAAAAAAAAAGTGGAATTGCTGGGTTGGATGGTAATTCCACACTTAGTTTTGTAGGGATTCACTGTACTGTTTCCTGCAGCAGCGGCCTCATTTTACATTCCCACAGAATCCACATGGGTTCCAGTTTCTTCGCACCCTCACCAACACTTGTTATTTTATTTCTTTTTTTTTTAGAGATAGGATCTCACGATGTTGCCCAGGCTGGTCTTGAACTCCTAGTCTCAGGTAATCCTCCTGCTTTGGCCTCCCAGAGCATTGAGCTTACACACGTGAGCCGCCAGGCCCAGCAAACACTTGTTTTTTTTTGTTTTTTTGAAACGGGGTTTCACTCTCGTTAACCAGGCTGGAGTACAATGATGTGATCTCGGCTCACTGCAACCTCCCACTCCCGGGTTCAAGCGATTCTCCTGTCTCGGCCTCCTGAGTAGCTGGGATTACAGGCGCCGACCACTACACCCAGGTAATTTTTGGTATTTTTAGTAGAAATGGGGTTTCACCGTGTTGGCCAGGGTGGTCTCGAACTCCTGACGTCAGGTGATCCACCTGCCTCAGCCTCCCAAAGTGCTGAGATTACAGGCAGGAGCCACTGCACCTGGCCCTTTCCTTTCCTTCCTTTCTTCTTTCGATTTATTTATTTATTTATTTGTTTGTTTGTTTGTTTGTTTATGACAGAGTCTCTCTCTGTTGCCCAGACTGGAGTGCAGTGGCGCAATGTCAGTTCACTGCAGCCTCTACCTCCCGAGTTTAAGCGATTCTTGTGCCTCAGCCTCCTGAGTAGCTGGGACTACAGGCGTGCACCACCATGCCTGGCTAACTTTTGTATTTTTAATAGAGATGGGTGGGGTTTCACCATGTTGGCCAAGCTGGTCTCGAACTCCTGGCCTCAAGTGATCTGCCCGCCTTGGCCTCCCAAAGTGCTGGGATTACAGATGTGAGCCACTGTGTGGCATTTGTTTTTTTCTTTTAAATAATAGCCATCCTAGTAGATGTGAGCACTGATGTTTTCCTCTCTTAATCTTGCTCAGTAGGACAGTGGTTTAGTTGTAATGGAAAACTCTGGGTTTTATTGGGCTGAGTTGGCCTGAGGTGCCAAGGCTGCACTGGGGGCCACAGAGATAGCCTGGTACTATTAGAAAGGCCTAGGGGAGATGAAATTTACCACCTTGCAGCCTAGTCCTCCAACAGACTTGAGTGATGGTTAATGGCACGGACTTCAGACCCAGAGCACCCAGGCATGGTGTGTCATATCCGTAATGCCAGCACTTTGGTAGACTGAGGTAGAAGGATTGCTTGAGCCCAGAAAGAAGTTCAAGACTAGCCTGGGCAACATAGTGAGACTCTGTCTCTACCATAAAAAAAAAATTAGCCAGGCGTAGAGGCATGCACCTGTAGTCCCAGCTACTCCGCAGGCTGAGGCAAGAAGATCACTTGAACCCTGGAGGTCAAGGCTGCAGTGAGCTATGATGGCACCACTGTACTCCAGCCTGGGCAACAGAATGACACCCTGTCTGTAAACAAAAAAACCCTCCTTTCCACATTCAGCCCACAAATCTTTCAGGAATGACCATTATACACCAAGTACCATGCTAGACACAGGGGATTCAACAATAAACAAAAGCACACAATGCCCTGCCCTCATGGAGCTTATAGTCTAGTGAGGGAAAAAGATGTTAGTTGAATTATCACCTTTCAATGAATGTGTGATTACAAAATGAATAAAACAAATGCTTTGATGGCAGAGGCTCTAGCAGTACCTCAGTGTTCCTTCTGTCCCTCTTTATGAGTAATAGAACCTTTGATTTTTACATAGACATATGGGTACCTAGAATAAAGACTACATTTTCCAGGCTTCTTGCAACCAGATGTGGCCTTGTGGCTAAATTCTGGCCAGTCCTACATATGCAGAAGTGGGATGTTCAACTTGTAGGAGATGTCTGTAAAGGGAGGAGGCTTGCCCGTTTTTCCTCTTTCTTATTCCCACTTGTGGGAATGTGGACATAATGGCTGGAGCTCCAGCTGCTGTCTTGGACTATCAAGCGACCTTGAGAATGAAAACCATGTATATTGGAGCAAGAAAATAAAGGAAGCCCGTGGGGCTGGTGTCGTGGTTCACACCTGTAATCCCAGCACTTTGGGCAAGAGAATCACTTGAGCCCAGGAGTTCAAGACCAACCTGGGCAACATAGTGAGACCCCTTCTCTACTAAAAATTTAAAACATAGTGAAGCACAGAGGTGTGTACCTGTGATCCTAGCTAGTTGGAAGACTGAGATAAGAGGATCTCTTGAGCTGGTTCAGCTCTGTTGTCCAGGCTGGAGTGCAGTGAGCTATGATTGCACCACTGCATTCCAGCCTGGGAAACAGTGCAAGACCCTGTCTCAAAACAGAAGGAAGAAAGAAGAAGAAGGAGGAGGAGGAAAGAAGAAGGAAGAAGGAAGATGAAGAGGAAGGGGAAGAAGGAGAAAGCAGCAGCAGCTTGGCTCTTAGGCACCATGAGGCCCAGGACTTTTTTTTTTAGAGATGAGGTCTCACTATGTTGCCCAGGCTGGAGTGCAGTGGCTGTTCACAGGTGTGATCCCACTACTGATCAGTACAGGAGTTTTTTTGTTTTTGTTTTTTGTTTTGTTTTTTGAGACGGAGTTTTGCTCTTGTTGCCCAGGCTGGAGTGAAATGGCGCCATCTCGGCTCACTGCAACCTCCATCTCCCGGGTTCAAGCGATTCTCCTGCCTCAGCCTCCGAAGTAGCTGGGATTACAGGCATGCACCACCACACCCAGCTAATTTGTATTTTTAGTAGAGATGGAATTTCTCCATGTTGGTCAGGCTGGTCTCAAACTTCCGACCTCTGGTGATCCGCCCACCTCGGCCTCCCAAAGTGCTAGGATTACAGGTGTGAACAACCGCGCCCGGCCAGCACAGGAGTTTTGACCTGCTCCGTTTCTGACCTGGGCCTGTTACCCCTCCTTAGGCAACCTGGTGGTCCCCTGTTCCTTGGAGGTCACCATATTGATGCTGAACTTAGTGTGGACACCTGATTGGCCCAGTGCACTACAGCCCAGAACTCCTGGACTCAAGTGATCCTCCCACCTCAGCCTCCCAAGTAGCCGGGACTATAGGCAGGCATTACCATGCCCAGCACCCAGGACTTCTAAGTGCAAAAGAAATGAGGTTTAATTTTGTGTAAGCCCCTGTTATTTGGAGTTTTTCTGTGGTTTGCCACTGTAACAGGAAGATGTAGTTCTATGAGCAAATGTAACACGGAACTTGACCCATACCAGGAGGGCTTCTTTGAGGAAATGACACTTGGGTTGAGTTAGCAATAGAGTGAGGAGGAAAGGGTTTTCAAGCAAAGGAAAAGTCCTATGCAAAAGTCCTGGGGTAGAAAGGAGCTTGCTGTGTTCCAAGGAAGAGAAGAAAGACCAGGGTGGCTGGGATAGAAAAAACAAGTAGAGGATCAGCACGAAATGAGGTTGGAAAGGTGACAACACAGGGCACCATAAGCCTGTCAAGGCTTTTGCCAAAGATCCCAAGAGTAATGGGAGGCCACTGAAGGGGTTTTAGTGAGGAGATTAGAGGGCTAGATTGGTTCTCCTGGCTAGTAGCTCCATCCATCTGGAAGGCAGCTGCCATCTCTCAACCCCAGGATATCTTAGAGGCTGGGATCAAATGTTGTTTATCTGTGGATGAACTTTTTTTTTTTTTGAGACGGAGTCTCGCTGTCGCCCAGGCTGGAGTGCAGTGGCAGTGATCTCGGCTCACTGCAGGTTCCGCCCCCTGGCGGGGTTCACGCCATTCTCCTGCCTCAGCCTCCCACCTAGCTGGGACTACAAGCTCCCGCCACCTCGCCCGGCTAATTTTTTGTATTTTTAGTAGAGATGGGGTTTCACCGTGTTAGCCAGGATGGTCTCGATCTCCTGACCTCGTGATCCGCCCGCCTCGGCCTCCCAAAGTGCTGGGATTACAGGTATGAGCCACCGCGCCCGGCCTGGATGAACTTTTTATAAAACTATTTTTTTGACAGAATCTTGCTTTGTCACCCAGGCTGCAGTACAGTGGCACGATCTCCACTCACTGCTACCTCCACCTCCCAGGTTCAGACGATTCCCCTGCCTCAGCCTCCCGAGTAGCTGGGACTACAGGCATATGCCACGCCATGCCCGGCTAACTTTTTGTATTTTAATAGAGACGGGGTTTCACCATGTTGACCAGGATGGTCTCAAGCTCCTGACCTCGTGATCTGCCTGCCTCGGCCTCTCAAAATGCTGGGATTACAGGCATGAGCCACAGTGCCCCCGGCTATAAAACTGTTTTTTAAAGTGTGGTAAAATAGGGCCAGGCACGGTGGCTCATGCCTGTAATCCCAACACTTTGGGAGGCCGAGGCAGGTGAATCACCTGAGGTCAGGAATTCAAGACCAGACCAGCCAACATGGCAAAACCCCATCTCTACTAAAAATACAAAAATTAGCCAGGCATGGTGGTGGGCTGCTGTAATCCCAGCTACTTGGGAGGCTGAGGCAGGAGAATCGCTTGAACCTGTGAGTTGGAGGTTGCAGTGAGCCAAGATAGCACCACTGCACTCCAGCCTGGGCAACAAGAAGGAAACTCTGTCTCAAAAATAAATAAATAAATAAATAAATGCTGTGTTAAAATATATATAACATTTGCCATTTTAACTATTTTAAAGTGTACAATTCAGTGGCTTTAATTACATTCACAATGTTGTGCAACCATCACCACTATCTCCAAACATTTTTGTGAGGCCAGGTGCCATGGCTCACACTTGTAATCCCAGCATTTTGGGAGGCGAGGCAGGCAGATCACTTGAGCCCAGGAGTTCAAGACCAGCCTGGGCAACATGGCAAAACCTTGTCTCTACAAAACACACACAAATTAGCTGGATGCCTGTAGTCCCAGCTACTCGGGAGGCCATGGTGGGAGGATCTGGGGGAAGATTACCTGAGCCTGGGAGGAGGAGGCTGCAGTGAGACGTGATCACGCCACTGCACTCTAGCCTGGACAACCGAGCCAGACCTTATCTCAAAACAAAAACAAAAACAGAAACAAAACAGCCCCACAAACTTTTTTATGGATGAACTTTTGCACACAGTAATTATTTACCGCATGTTGGACTGAACTACATAATTGCAGCAGTCACTGTGTGTGAATTCCTAGAAAGTGGGCTGCGGACCATGAGGAAGGGTTGACCAAGTCAGATCAGAGATAGCTGGGACCAGCCTGAGGAATGTCACACCCAGGTCAGCAGCTCTGTGGACCTGCCAGCTGTCCTTGGATACGTCATTTGGTGTGCTTTACTTAAGAGGAAGAATCAGGCCCAGCGCAGCGGATCATGAGGTCAGAAGATGGAGACCATCATGGCTAACACGGTGAAACCCTGCCTCTACTAAAAAACAACAACAAAAAAAAAAAAAATAGCCGGGCACAGTGGCTCACGCCTGTAATCCCAGCACTTTGGGAGGCCGAGCATGGCAGATCACGAGGTCAGGAGATCGAGACCATCCTGGCTAACACGGTGAAACCCCTCTACTAAAAATACAAAAAAATTATCCGAGCGTGGTGGTGGGCACCTGTAGTCCCAGCTACTCAAGAGGCTGAGGCAGGAGAATCACTTGAACCCAGAAGGCGGAGGTTGCAGTGAGCCGAGATTGCGCCACTGTGCTCCAGCCTGGGCAACAGAGCAAGACTCCGCCTCAAAAAATAAAAAAATAAATAAATAAAAGAGGAATAATCATCCCCAGAACTGGAGTCAGAGTAGAGTAAACCGATGTCTGACCACTCCCAGGATCTTAGGAAAACAGTCTGACTTCATTCATTGTTCTACCCACCAAGGAATGCCGAAAACAATGGAGAACTGGTTGTTCTGTGTTTCTCAACTTGAGGCAGTTTCCTGGATATACACAGTGGTATGTCTGGGACACGTGTAGCCTCAGGATAAACATGGGGCATTCATTTGACTTGATGGGAAATGATTTGTATTATTTTATTTTAAAACAAGTGTGCACGTATTATGGGACAATAAACAACTTATGATGAGGTTTAAGAGTAAAAGATGAGGCTTTGAAGAAATTGTACCTGCAGCTTGGGCCTCACTCTCAGACTTTCAGTAATATTTGCCCTTTTCCCTTGCCAATAGTGGTATTTTCCATCTCGAAAAAAAAAAAAAAGATTCTCATAGGAGTATGAACCCTACTGTGAACTGCTCATGCAAGGGATCTGGGTTGCACACGCCTTAATGAAAATCTAATGCCTGATGATCTGAGGTGGAACAGTTTCATCCAAAAACCATCCCCTCCGCCCCTCAATCTGTGGAAAAATTGTCTTCCATGAAACTGGTCCCTGGTGCTGAAAACATTGGGGACTGCTGTTTTAGGGCATTTTGGCTGTGCTGGTGATGTTGCCTTCTTCTGGAAACTTATAACAGCTTGTATCTCTGAGAATGAATGGAAAAGACTGCTCCAGACCCAAAGCCATGCTGTCCACAAACTCCTTCTAGGAAATGCACTTTTACAAAGGATCTTTTTTTTTTTTTTTTTTTTTTGAGACAGAGTGTCGCTCTGTCACCCAGGCTGGAGTGCAGTGGCACAGTCTTGGCTCACTGCAACCTCTGCCTCCTGGGTTCAAGGGATTCTCCTGCCTCATCCTCCCCAGTAGCTGGGACTACAGGCGTGTGCCATCATGCCTGGCTAATTTTTGTATTTTTAGTAGAGATGGGGTTTTGCCATGTTGGTCAGGCTGGTCTGGAGCTCCTGATCCTAAGTGATCTGCCCACCTCGGCCTCCCAAGGTGCTGGGATTACAGGCGTGAGCCACCATACGTGGCCAGAAGAACGTAATCTAATGAGACTTTGAGAGACTGGGAGCTTGGTGAAAACTGCTCTTGGTGTATTTCCTTCCTTCTGCTTGACTTCAGAGCTCCACCTTGATTTCCTGATTCTGTACTTACGTTGTGAAAGGAGGATGGTTGGCCGGGTGCAGTGGCTCACGCCTGTAATCCCAGCACTTTGGGAGGCTGAGGTGGGAGGATCACTTGAGTTCGGGAGTTCGAGACCAGCCTGATTAACAAGGAGAAACTACGTCTCTACTAAAGATACAAACTTAGCCAGGCGTGGTGGCAGGCACCTGTAATCCCAGCTACTCGGGAGGCTGAGCCAGGAGAATTGCTTGAACCCGGGAGGTGGAGGTTGTGGTCAGCCGAGATCATGCCATTGCACTCCAGCCTGGGCAACAAGAGTGAGACTCTGTCGAAAGAAAGAAAGGAAGAAAGAAAGGAATAAAGAAAGAAAGAAAGAAAGAAAGAAGGAAGGAAAGAAGGAAGAAAGGAAGGAGAAAGGAAGGAAGGGAGGAAAGGAAGGGAAGGAAGGGAAGGAAGGAAGGGAGGAAGAAAGAGAAAGAGAAAGGAAGGAAGGGAAGGGAAGGAAAGGAAGGAAGGAAGGGAAGGGAAGGGAAGGAAAGGAAGGAAGGAAGAAAGGGAAGGAAAGGAAGGAAGGAAGATGGTGGGAGGGTAAAGGCTGGTTGAAGCTGCTAATTCTAATTTGTAGTGTTCCCTGCTTCTTCTCCTCCCTCGCTATTTTGTGCCTTTGGTCTCAGGACCTTCCTCAGCCGTCCCTTCTTCCAGGCAGACTTTGCTCAGTGCCTCACTCAGTGTGAATCCCGTGCCTTCTACCTCCCCGCATAATGTCCCCCAAACTTCGTCAGAGTACAAATTCAGCTGCACTGTGGTTCTCATTTAGTCATCTTTGTTCTTCACTAGATCAAAAATTCTTGAGGACAGAAAAGCGATTTCCTGTCAAGCAATTTTCCCTTCAAACCTTGGGTCTAGCACATGGCACATGACATTTACTAACTAAAACATACATTGAGTAGGTGGCAGGAGTAAGCAGTTGTTTACAAAGGTAGCTGCAATCATTTTTTGTTGTTCTTTTTTTTTTTTTTTTTTTTTGAGACGAAGTCTTGCTCTATCATACAGGCTGGAGTGCAGTGGCACAATCTCAGATTACTGCAGCCTCTGCCCCCTGGGTTCCAGCGATTCTCCTGCCTCAGCCTCCTGGGTAACTGAGATTACAGGTGCACGCCACCGCGCCCGGCTGGCTGCAATAGTTTTTCCCATCCCTTTATGCAAATCCCTTTTGCAACGTGACTATGCTGCGTCAAAGGGTAGGGATTATTCCTCCACCCCTTGAATCTGGGCTTGGCCACCGGGACATTAGCAAACGTGATGCAAGCAGGGGCTTGAAAAGCACTTGCACAAAAGGAATTACCCCTTTTTGACAGCGGCTGTAACCCTGAGACCGGTGATGTGAGCAAGCCTGGGCTGGCCTAATAGAGAGGCCTTATGCAGCAGGGCTGAGCCCAGGCAGCAGCCTGCCTATGTCCAACCAGCCAATTGCCAGACACGTGAGTGAGGTCATCTTAGGCCATCCAGCCCCATTTAAGACCCTAGAGGACTACAGACACATGAATGACTCCAGGGAAGACCAGCAGCAGAACCACTCCGGTGACCTCAGCCCAAATCGCTGATCCAGATTCATGAGCAAGCCGTTAAGTCTGGCCATGGTTTGTAACGCAGTGATCAATAACTGATATAGAAGGTACTTTGTATGTGATCGTTCCTTCATTTGGCGTCTGTTCCTACTTTTCCTTTAGTGGCTAGCTCTTGTTTTTGCCTGTCCAGACTTTATTTCACTTTCTTCCTGTAGCGGCAAGTAGGTACTTTCTGTAGGAAAATTCTTAGAAATCACAGTGCTGAATCAAAGAGTAGCTGACATTCTGACTATCTCTCCAGCTTCCACTCCACCTCCTCCGGGGTTAGTCATATAGTTTGGGTAGGGCCAGGCATGGTCGCTCACGCCTGTAATCCCAGCACTTTGGGAAGCTGAGGCAGGATTATTTGAGCCCAGGAGTTTGAGACCAGCCTGGGCAAAATAGTGAGACCTCACTGCTATTTATTATTACTATTATTATTTATTATTATTATTTTTTTGAGACAGAGTCACTCTGTTGCCCAGGCTGGAGTGCAGTGGCACGATCTTGGCTCACTGCAAGCTCCGCCTCCTGGGTTCACGCCATTCTCCTGCCTCAGCCTCCCGAGTAGGAGGGAATACAGTCGCCCACCTCCATGCCCAGCTAAATTTTTTGTATTTTTACTACAGATGGGGTTTCACCATGTTGGTCAGGCTAGTTTCAAACTCATGACCTCAGGTGATCTTCCCACCTCAGCCTCCCAAAGTGCTGGGATTACAGGCATGAGCCACCACACCAGGCCTATTATTATTATTATTATTATTATTATTATTATTATTATTATTATTTTTGAGACAGAGTCTCGCTCTGTTGCCCAGGCTGGAGTGCAGTGGTGCGATCTCGGCTCACTGCAAGTTCCGCCTCTTGGGTTCACACCATTCTCCTGCCTCAGCCTCCCCAGTAGCTGGGACTACAGGTGCCTGCCACCGTGCCCAGCTAATTTGTGTGTGTGTGTGTGTGTGTATTTTTAGTACAGATGGGGTTTCACTGTGTGAGCCAGGGTGGTTTCGATCTCCAGACCTCGTGATCTGCCCGCCTCGGCCTCCCAAAGTGCTAGGATTACAGGTGTGAGCCACCGTACCTGGCCTATTATTATTTTTTTAAATGAAAAAATGGTTTGGGTAGGATGTAACTCACTTGTAGTTCTAGATGCGAGCCACATTAGGACTACACTTGATCTTAGCCAAAAGGCTGAGAAGCAATACCACATTAGGTCTAAATAAATCAAGCAAAATAATCCTATCTTCCATTCTATGATTGTAGAAAATCCTCCAGATTTGAATGAGAATACTCCCCATAGTCCTAAATGATCCCGGCCCAATATCTTGTTACTTTGTAGAAAGCCATCCTGAGGATTTGACAGCATGGGAAGGAGTTGAAGAATCCAGAGAAACAGAACCAGGCTTTATTGACCTACCCCTGAAGCTGCATTACCTGTGGACCTTCAGTTACGGAAGTTACTGTGTTACCTTTAGTATTCAAGCCACATTGTTTGGGTTTTCTCTTACTTTCAATAAGAGCATTCTCACTGACAAGAACAAAAGGTGATACATGTTGATCAAATATTTTTCCATTGCGTCATGAGGGTTATCCACTTCCTTGATTGCAGTAACACTCTTTGCTGTCAAAAGCCCTATTTTAAACATTCCAAGGCCGGGCGTGGTGGCTCATGCCTGTAAACTCAGCACTTTGGGAGGCCAAGGCAGAGGATCACAGGGTCAGGAGATCAAGACCATCCTGGCCAACATGCTGAAACCCCGTCTCTGCTAAAAATACAAAAATTAGCAGGGTGTGGTGGCGCATATCTGTAATCCCAGCTACTCGGGAGGCTGAGGCTGGAGAATAGCTTGAACCCAGGAGGCGGATGTTGCAGTGAGCCGAGATCTTGCCATTGTATGCCAGCCTGGGCGACAAGAGCAAAACTCCATCTCAAAAAAAAAAAGAGAGAGAGAAATATAAGGATGTCTGAGTGCAGTGGCTCATGCCTGTAGTCCCAGCACTTTGGGAGACTGAGGCAGGTGGATAGCTTGAGCCCAGGAGTTTGAGACCAGCTTGAAGAAAATGGTGAAAACCTATCTCTACAAAAAAACCCACAAAAATTAGCCAGGCGGCTGGGCGCGGTGGCTCACGCCTGTAATCCCAGCACTTTGTGAGGCTGAAGCAGGCGGATCACCTGAGGTTGGGAGTTTGAGACCAGCCTGGCCAATATGGTGAAACCCCGTCTGTACTAAAAATACAAAAATTAGCCGGTGTGGTGGTGGGCACCTGTAATCCCAGCTACTCGGGAAGCTGAGGCAGGATAATCTCTTGAACCTGAGAGGCGGAGGTTGCAGTGAGCCAAGATCATGCCACTGCACTCCAGCCTGGGTGACAGAGCAAGACTCTGTCTCAAAAAAAAAAAAAAGAAAAAGAAAAAATTAGCCAGGCTTGGTGGCACGGGCCTGTAGTCCCAGCTACTTGGGAGGCTGAGGTAGGGGGATCACTTGAGCCCAGGAGGTGGAGGTTGCAGTGAACCCAGATTGTGCCACTCCACTCCAGCCTGGACGACAGAGTGAGACCCTGTCTCAAAACAATAAAAATTTTAAAAAAAGAAGTATAAGGGCAAGCAGGTATTGTAGGCAGAAGAGTGGCCCCCAAAGATGTCCATGTCCCAACTCCCCATATTTGTGAATGTGTTACCTTTCATGGCAGGAAGGATTTTGCAGATGTGACTATTGCAATAATTTTGAGATTGGGAGATTTTTCTGGAGTACCTGGGTGGGTCACGTGATCACAAAGACATTTATAAATGAAAGAAGGAAAAAGGAGGGTCAGAGTGATACTATGAGAGAAAGACTCTGCTGGCCGGAGATGTGGGGTTTTTTTGAGACAGGGTCTGGCTTTGTTGCCCAGGCTAGAGTGTAGTGTCTCAGTCTCAGCTCACTGCAGCCTCGACCTCCTGGGCTCAGGTAATCCTTCCACCTCAGCCTCCCGAGTAGCTGGGACTACAGGCACGTACTATCATGCACAGCTAATTTCTGCGTTTGTTTTTTTGTTTGTTTGTTTGTTTTTGTAGAGACAGGGCTTTACCATGTTCCCAGGCTGATATCAAACTCCTGGGCCCAAGTGATCCTCCTGCCTTGGCCTCCCAAAGTGCTGGGACTACAGGTGTGAGCCACCACGCCTGGCACATTGATGGTTTTGAAGATGGAAGGGGGCCACCAGCAGAGGAGTGCAGGTAGCTTCTAGAAAGTGGAAAATGCAAAAAAAAAAAAAAAGAATTTTCCTCTAGAGATTCCAGAAAAGAATGCAGGCAGCTTCTAGAAAGTGGAAAATGCAAAAAACAAAACAAAACAAAACAATTTGCCTCTACAGCTTCCAGAAAAGAATGCAGGCCTACCAGCACATTGATTTTAGCCCAGTGACATTCATTTTGGACTTCTGATAGATTGTAATAAGATAACAAAAGTATGTAGCTTTAAGCCACAAGATAACAAACGTATGTTGCTTTAAGCCGTTAAGATTGTAACGTGTATGTGATGGCCAATAAAATAGACCAAATTTAAAAATGAGAAATATAAGGATGTCCGGGCGCAGTGGCTCACGCCTGTAATCCCAGCACTTTGGGAGGCCAAGGCCGGCAGATCACGAGGTCAAGGGCTCGAGACCATCCTGGCCAACATGGTAAAACCCCATCTCTACTAAAAGTACAAAAATTAGCCGGGCATGGTGGCGGGTGCCTATCTTCCCAGCTACTGGGGAGGCTGAGGCAGGAAAATCTCTTGAAACGGGAAGGAAAGCAGAGGTTGCAGTGAGCTGAGATCATGCCACTGCACTCCAGCCTGGGCGAAAGAGCGAGACTCTGTCTCGAGAAAAAAAAAAAAAATTGTGGTAATTTGTTACAGCATCAATAGGGAATTGATACAGAAGAAAAGAGAGAAAAATATTTGTAGATGGTACAGTCAATACATATGAACCAGCCGGGCGAGGCGGCTCATGACTGTAATCCCAGCACTTTGGGAGGCCGAGGCAGGTGGATGACCTGAGGTCAGGAGTTCGAATCCAGCCTGGCCAACTCAAAAAAGAAAAGGCCAGGCTTGGTGGCTCATGCCTGTAATCCCAACACTTTGGGAGGCCAAGGCGGGTGGATCACCTGAGATCATGAGTTCGAGACCAGCCTGGCCAGTGTGGTGAAACCCCGTCTCTGCTAAAAATACAAAAAATTAGCTGGGTGTGGTGGCACACACCTGTAGTCCCAGCTACTCAGGAGGCTGAGACAGGAGAATTGCTTGAACCCGGGAGGCGGAGGTTGCTGTGAGCCGAGATCGCACCACTGCACTCCAGCCTGGGCGACAGAGCAAGATTCTGTCTCAAAAAAAAAAAAAAAAAAAAAAAAAAAATATATATATATATATATATATATATATATAAATCAACAAGATCTTAGCGATAAACAAAATTTTGCAGTAAGACCAAATAGAAGATCAACACACTAAACTCAATAATAATAAACAGATGAATGGATAAATAAAATATGGTATATAGTACATGAAATATTATTCAGCCTGAAAAATAAAAATTCTTTTTTTTTTTTTTTTGAGATGGAATCTCACTCTTTTGCCCAGGCTGGAGTGAAGTGGCGCAATCTCGGCTCACTGCAACCTCCGCCCTGCGGGTTCAAGTGATTCTCCTGCCTCAACCTCCCGAGTATCTATAAAAAATACAAAAATTAGCTGGGTGTTCTAGTGCATGTCTGTAATCCCAGCTACTCAGGAGGCTGAGGCATGGGAATCGCTTCAACCCAGGAGGCGGAGATTGCAGTAAGCCGAGACTGCACCACTGTACTACAGTCTGGGTGACAAAGCAACGCTCCATCCATCTCAAAAAAAAATAAAATAAGGTAAAATAGGGAAAATTTGATAATGAATGTCTGGTTAAACATGCCAATCAAATCTGATTTCTTTTTTTTTTTTTGAGACAGGGTCTTGCTCTGTCACCCAGGCTGGAGTGCCATGTCATGGTCTCAGCTCACTGCAGCCTCCATCTCCCGGGCTCAAGTGATCCTCCTGCCTCAGCTTCCTGAGTAGCTGGGAGTACGGACATGTGCTACCACATCCAGCTAATTTTCGCATTTTTTGTAGACACGGGATTTCATCATGTTGCCCAGGCTGGTCTCAAACTCCTGGACTCAAGCGATCTGCCTTGCATGGCCTTCCACAGTACTGGGATTATAGGCAAGAGCCACAGCTCTGGCCTGAATCCAAATATTTATTTGGTTCTTCCTGTTACCCCAATAAAGTAACAGCAAAGAACTAAAAATGTGATAAATCCACAGGTGAAAGAGAACAGTTGCAGAGAATATGAGTGATGTCGACCCCATTTTGGAAGACGGGAAGGATTAGCGATAATTGATTTAGGTTTCAGCTTTCTCTTTTCTAGGTCCTGCAGAGAGAGAAGACCACGAGAAGCAAAAAGCAGCAAGATGACTGGAAAGATTCAGGAATTGGGAGCAGTGAATAACTCAAAGTGCAGTGGAGGTTGGTGCTGAACATCAGCATTAGCTGACAATTTGTAAAAGAAGCAGTTCCTGGCCAGGTGCCATGGCTCACGCCTATAATCTCAGCACTTTGGGAGACCAAGGAGGGTGTATCACGAGGTCAAGAGATCGAGACCATCCTGGCTAACACAGTGAAACCCTGTCTCTACGAAAAAGAACACAAAAAATTAGCCAGGTGTGGTGGCACGGGCCTGTAGTCCCAGCTATTCGGGAGGCTGAGGCAGGAGAATCACTTTAACCTGAGAGGCGGAGGTTGCAGTGAGCCGAGATCGAGTCACTGCACTCCAGCCTGGGTGACAGGGCTAGAGTCCGTCTCATAAATAAAATGAAATAATAAAAAACAGATGTTCAAACTCACTGGTAATCAATGAAATGCAAGTTAAAACAATGAGATACCATTTTATACCTCGCAGAGGGACAAAAATTAGAGTTAGAAAATAGCAGGGTGAAAATTGGAGAAATGATCATCCTTTTGTCTCATTATGGGAGTGCAAACTGGTGCAGATATTTAAGAAACAAATGTGGCTGAATTGGGGAAGTCAAGGATATAAGACCCAGCAACCAGCAATCTCAGCCTGGGTTGGGAGGTGAATTCTGTACATCTGAGAGTTCGCCCATCCACAAGGGGTCGTGTACAAGGATGTTCACTGCAGATTTGTTGTAAAAATGAGGAGGTGGTGTCCATCACTAATGGAATATTTGGGTGCATCTCATGTGCTGCTGCTCAGCGGTAGGACCCAGGAGCGAGGTGGACAGGCAGCGGCCGGAGGAGGTCAGAAAAACAGTGCTGGGGCTGGACGCAGTGGCTCACGCCTGTAATCCCAGCACTTTGGGAGGCAGAGGCGGGTGGATCACTTGAGGTCAGGAGTTCCAGACCAGCCTGGCCAACATGGTAAAACCCCGTCTCTACTAAAAATACAAAAATTATCTGTGCGTGGTGGCGCACCTGTTATCCCCACCTACTATGGAGGCTGAGGCAGGAGAATCGCTTGAACCCGGGAGGCGGAGGTTGCAGTGAGCCGATACTGTGCCACTGCACTCCAGCCTGGGCGACAGAGTGAGACTCCATCTCAAACAAACAAACAAACAAACAAACATAAAAACAGTGTTGGAAAGGAATAGAAAAAGATTCTTGGACCCATACTGTTTATTTAAATAGAAAACATACAACATATGTGGCTTTTATTGCAGAAATAATAAAAATAGAAAAGAAAAGAAGCCGGGCACGGTGGCTCAAGCCTGTAATCCCAGCACTTTGGGAGGCCGAGGCGGGCAGATCACCTGAGGTCAGGAGTTTGAGACCAACCTGACCAACATGGAGAAATCCTGTCTCTACTAAAAATACAAAAAATTAGCCGGGCATGGTGGTGGGCACCTGTAATCCCAGCTACTAGGGAGGCTGAGGTAAGAAAATCGCTTGAACCCATGAGGCAGAGGTTGCAGTGAGCCAAGATCGCACCACTGCACTCCAGCCTGGGCAACAAGAGCAAACTCTGTGTTAAAAAAAAAAAAAAAGAAAAAGAAAAAGAAAAAGAAATCAAAAAGAAAAAAAAAACCATACACACAAAACAGGAGTATGTTTTTTACTACACCTATGTTTCCAAGAAACACATAATGGTGGGTGTTTATGTGGGAGGGGAAGGGGAATGTGGACCAAGAGTAAGGGTGGGGTTCAAATGAATGGGAGACCGTGAAAGACCATGGGCACCATGAGTGGATGAACCTGATGAGCTCAACTCTCCGCACACAAGACAGCCGCAGCCCCCAGTAGCCTTTTTCATGCAATTTCAGCAAAAACCTCAGTGGAATTTCTGGAGGACTTTGCAATATAATTCTAAAGATTTTCTGGAAGAATACATTATGAAAGAAAAATTTGAAAACTTTGAAAAAGAAGATCATCTATCCGTGACTTGGCCTACCAGATAATAGAATGTATAAATAATGCAGCAGTCACTAGAACAGTATGCTATGTGCACACTGGAATGGACAGAAGAATCAATAGAAGAGAAAAAACGGGCAGAAATAGACCTCAAAAATTATCAAAAGCTATTAGATATTAAGAGTGGCGTCAATCGGCCAGGCACCAAAGCTCACGCCTGTAATCCCAGCGCTTTGGGAGGCCAAGGTGTGTGGATCACTTGAGGTCAGGAGTTTGAGACCAGCCTGGCCAACATGGCAAAACCCCATCTCTACTGAAAATACAAAAATTAGCCAGGCATGTGGTGGTGCACACCTGTAGTCCCAGCTACTCAGGAGGCTGAGGCAGAAGAGTTGCTTGAACCCGGGAGGCGGAGGTTGCAGTGAGCGGAGACCGAGCTACTGCACTCTAGCCTGGGTGACAGAGCGAGACTCGGTCTCAAGAAAAAATAAAAAAATAATATACAAAAAATTAGTCGGGCATGGTGGCATGCACCTGTAATCCTAGCTACTCAGGAGGCTGAGGCAGGAGAATCGCTTGAATCCAGGAAGCGGAGGCTGCAGTGAGCCAAGACTGTGCCACTGCACTCCAGCCTGGGCAACAAGAGTGAAACTCTGTCTCAAAAAAAAAAAAAAAATTGTGGCATCAACCAGTGGGGGAAAGGCTGAATTGACAAATGATACCAGAAAAAATGACTAAAAATTTGAGAGTAAAGGTAGAAAAATACAGAGCAATGATTAAGACCCTTGAAAGTAAGATGGGGCAACATAGGGAGACCCCATCTCTACGAATAATCTTTAAAAAACTAACCAGGCTTGGTGGCACACACCTGTGGTCTCAGCTACTCAGGAGGCTGAAGTGGAAGATCAACTGAGCCTGGGAGGTTGAGGCTTCAGTGACCTATGATCGTGCCCCTGCACTCCAGCCTAGGTGACAGAGGAGACGCTGTCACACATACACACACAAAGACCTTTGAAAGTAAACAGACTTGGGGTTTGAATGCCAGTTTTGCCACTGATTAGCTGTGTAAATTGCAGGCAAGATCCTTAACTTCCCAAAGCCTAATTTCTCCCATATTTAAAAGCAAGGTAATAAAAATGACTACCTCACATGATTATGAGGATTAAAAGGGATAATGAGTATACAAAAGTAAAACCACGGTGCCTATTACACAGAATGTGCCTCATACAAGTTAGTTATTTTTATGTCTACTCTGTACCACATGCAAAGTAAGGTGCAAAATGAAACCATAAATGTTCTAGAAAGAAAATGAGTACTATTATGATTGTGGGTGGTAGAGGACTTCCTAAATATGGCCCTAAGGGTGGAAAACAGGAAGGAAAAGATAATAGTTCTGACTACCAAAACAAAACAAAAAGCCCACCACATTCTTTTTCTTTTGAGACAGGGTCTCGCTCTGTAGCCCAGGCAGTGCAGCAGCAAGATCTCAGCTCACCCACAGGTTCCTCCTCTCAGGTCTGAGCAATTCTCCCGCGTCAGACTCTGGAGTACCTGGGAGATTTTTGCTTTTTTTTTTTTTTTGAGACGGAATTTCACTCGTCACCCAGGCTGGAGTGCAATGGCGCAATCTTGGCTCACTGCAACCTCCACCTCCCGGGTTCAAGTGATTATTCTGCCTCAGCCTCCTGAGTAGCTGGGATTACAAGCACCCGCCACCACGTCCGGCTAATTTTTGTATTTTCAGTAGACATGGGGTTTCACCATGTTGGCCAAGCTGGTCTCGAACACCTGACCTCAGGTGATCCACCCACCTCGTCCTCCCAAAGTGCTGGGATTATAAGTGTGAGCCAACGCGCCCAGCCCTAATTTTTGCATTTTTGTAGAAACAAGGTTTTACCATGTTGGCCAGTCTGGTCTCAAACTCCTGGCCTCAAGTGATTCACCTGCCTTGGCCTCCCAAAGTGCTGGGATTACAGGCATCAGCCACCACATCTGGCTCACCATGCTTTTTGGTGCCAAAATCTCTTCACAAAGTCGAAACACAAATGGCAAACTGGGGGAAATGCTTGCAACATATGTAATAGACAAATGGTTTATGGTCTCTTACTAATCTATGAGGAAAAGGTGGATACGACAATAGAAAAATGCACCAAGAACATTGACAAATAAACAGGCTGGGCGTGACAGCCCCACGCCTGTAAACCCAACACTTTGAGAGCCCACAGCAAGTGGATTGCTTGAGTCCAGTAGTTCGAGACCAGCTTGGGCAACATGGCAAAACCCCGTCTCTACCAAAAACAAAAAACAAAACAAAAAAACATAAACAAAAAAGAGGTTACAAATATATAAATGGGGGGGATGGCGGGGCGTGGTGGCTCACGCCTGTAATCCCTTTGGGAGGCACTTTGGGAGGCCGAGGCGGGCGGATCACCTGAGGTCGGGAGTTTGAGACCAGCCTGACCAACATGGTGAAACCCCATCTCTACTAAAAATACAAAATTAGCCGGGCATGGTAGCACACGCCTGTAATCCCAGCTACTCGGGAGTCTGAGGCAGGAGAATCGCTTGAACCTGAGAGGCAGAGGTTGCAGTGAGCCAAGATTGCGCCATTGCACTCCAGCATGGGCAACAAGAGTGAAACTGTGTCTCAAAAAAAAAAAACAATAAAAAAAAATTAATGAGGAGGGACGTTCGACCTCCCTAATAAAGAATATAAATGAAAAGAAATCCCATTTATCAAATATTAAATTAGTACAATACGTTTTTATGATACTATTTCATTTCACTAAGCATACTTTTGTTTTGTTTTGTTTTTGAGGTGGAGTCCCCCTCTGTCACCAGGCTGGGGTGCAGTGGTGCGATCTCAGCTCACTGTAACTTCCAACTCCCAGGTTCAAGCGATCCTCCTGCCTCAGCCTCCTGAGTAGCTGGGACTACAGGTGTGCACCACCATGCCCACCTAATTTTTTGTATTTTTAGTAGAGACGGGGTTTCACCACATTGGCCAGGATGGTCTCCATCTCTTGACCTCGTGATACACCCACCTCAGCCTCCCAAAGTGCTGGGATTACAAGCGTGAGCCACCGTGCCCCACCTTGTTTTTCTTTTTTGAGACAGAGTCTCGCTCTGTCACCCAGGTTGGAGTGCAGTGGTGCGATCTTGGCTCACTGCAAACTCTGCCTCCCGGGTTGACGCCATTCTCCTGCCTCAGCCTCCCGAGTAGCTGGGACTACAGGCACCTGCCACCATGCCCGGCTAATTTTTGGTATTTTTAGTAGAGACGGGGTTTCACTGTGTTTGCCAGGATGGTCTCGATCTCCTGACCTGGTTATCTGCCCGCCTCGGTCTCCCAAAGTGCTGGGATTACAGGCCTGAGCCACCGCGCCCGGCAATTTGTTTATTTTTAGTAGAGACAGAGTCTGGTCATGTTGCCCACACTCATCTTGAAATCCTGGGCTTAAGTGATCCTCCCGCTTTGACCTCCCAATACGCCAGAATTATAGGTGCCCGGCCTTATTCCTTTTTATGACTGAATAATATTCCATTGTATGTATTAATATATATCATATTTTTGTGGTGGCATGCACCTGCTACTTGGGAGGCTGAGGCAGGAGAATCACTTGAACTTGGGAGGTGGAGGTTGCAGTGAGCCGAGATCACGCCGCTGCTCTCCAGCCTGGGCGACAGGGTCAGACTCTGTCTCAGAAAAAAAAAAAGAAAAAAAAAGGAAAATAATATATACCACATTTTGTTTATGCATTCATCTTCAATGGACATTTGAGTTGTTTCCAGCTTTTGGCTATTGTGAATAATGCTACTGTTTGAGTCCTGGCTTTCAACTCTTTTGGCTATACACCTGGCTGTAGAATTGCTGGACCATATGTTTATTCTGTGTTTAACTTTTTGAGAAACTGCCAAACTTGTTTTTGTTTTAAATGTCAGGTTTATTAAGAAATGATTTACATGCAGTAAAATTCACTTTTTAGGTATACAGTTCTATGAGTTTTTTTTTTTTCTTTTTTTTTTTGAGACAGTTTCACTCTTGTTGAGCAGGCTGGAGTGCAATGGCACGATCTCAGCTCACCGCAACCTCTGCCTCCCAGGTTCAAGGGATTCTCCTGCCTCAGCCTCCTGAGTAGCTGGGACTACAAGCATGTGCCACCACGCCCGGCTAATTTTGTATTTTTAGTAGAGACAGGGTTTCTCTATGTTTGTCAGGCTGGTCTCAAACTCCCAACCTCAGGTGATCTGCCCGTCTCGGCCTCTCAAAGTGCTGGGATTACAGGTGTGAGCCACCGCACCCAGTCAGTTCTATGAGTTTTGCCCAATACAGGCAGTTGTATAACTGTCACCACAATCAAAATATAGTATAGCTCGGCCAGGCATGGTGGCTCACACCTGTAATCCCAGCACTTTGGGAGGCCACGGTGGGTGGATCACCTGACATCAGGAGTTTGAGACCAGCCTGGCCAACAGGCAAAACCCCATCTCTACAAAATACAAAAATTAGCCGGGCATGGTGGTGGGCGCCTGTAGTCCCAGCTACTTTGGAGCCTGAGGCAGGAGAATCGTTTGAACCCGTGGGGCAGAGGTTGCAGTGAGCCGAGATTGTGCCATTGCACTCCAGCCTGGGCGACAGGGCAAGACCCTGTCTCAAAAACAAACAAACAAACAAAAAGATATAGTATAACTCCATTCCCCAAAAGTTCTCTGTGCTCCTTTGTACTTCACCGTCTGCCCTTACCCCTTGGCAACTACTGACCTGATTTCTGTCCTTACAATTTTTTGTTTTTTAGTCGGAATCTTGCTGTGTTGCCCGGGCTGGAGTACAGTGGTGCAATCTTGGCTCACTACAACCTCCGCCTCCTGGGGTCAAGTAATCCTCCCACCTCAGCCTTTCAAGTAGCTAGGACGACAGGTGCGTGCCACCACACCCAGATAATTTTTGTATTTTTTGTAGAGACAGGGTTTCACTATGTTGCCCAGGCTGGTCTTGAACTCCCAGGCTCAAGTGATCCTCTCGTCTTGGCCTCCTAAAATACTGGGATTATAGTCATGAGCCACTACGCCCAGCCTGCCCCTATAATTTGATTTTTCCAGAATGTTATATAAATGGAACCACTGGAGCTTGGCTTCTTTCATTCAGCACAATGTATCTGAGGTTCATCCAAGGGAGTGCAGTAATCATTTGCTCCTTTTACTGCAGTATAGTATTCCATTGTATGACTGCACTACGTGTACTTATCCATTCACCAGTTGATGAACATCCATTTTAAAATTTTTTTTCGAGACAGGGTCTTGCTCTGTCACCCAGGCTGGAGTGCAGTGGTGCGATCTCGGCTTACTGCAACCTCTACCTCTTGAGTTCAAGCGATCCTCCCACCTCAACCTCCTGAATAGCTGGGATTAAAAGTGTGCGCCGCCACACCCAGCTCATTTTTGTATTTTTAGTAGAGACGGGGCTTCGCCATGTTGGCCAGGCTGGTCTCGAACTCCTAACATCAAGTGATCCGCCCGCATGAGCCACCACGCCTGGCCTGTAAAGCAATCTTGTGTCTCTGCTGCCCCCGCCCTGCTACAGTCCTTTTCTCTCTGCATATCTGCTTTTATTTTCTCCCCTGTGCTCCACTTCACAAGCGGAATATGGCTGCTGTGTAGCTCCCAGTCCACATGTTAAAATCCCAGCCACCTTCGAACTGATTCGCTGCTTCTCAGTCCAATCCTAAATTCCCAGTGATCATCTGAGTTGGGGCTGTGGTCCATGCCATGCAGCCATGGCCAGGGAGGCAGAGTCAGATAGAAGCAAAATGGCTCCCAAGAACCCACTCTAGTGATGTAATCTGTGGGTATGCTTCCCAGAGAAAAGACGTGGCTACGAGGCTGGGGAAATAACCCAAAACATAAAGCAAATCCGTTTATTGCTCTGATATTTGGACTATTTGAAGTTCAGGATATTTTTTTATTTTTTATTTTTATTTTTATTTATTTATTTATTTATTTTGTGATGGAGTCTCATTCTGTCACCCAGGTTGGAGTGCAGTGGCGTGATCTCAGCTCACTGCAACCTCTGCCTCCTGGGTTCAAGCGATTCTCCTGCCTCAGCCTTCCGAGTAGCTGGGATTACAGGCACCTGCCACCATGCCCAGCTAATTTTTGTATTTTTAGTAGAGATGGGGTTTCACCATGTTGGCCAGGATGATCTTGATCTCTTGACCTGGTGATCGCCAGCCTCGGCCTCCCAAAGTGCTGGAATTACAGGTGTGAGCCACCGCGCTCAGCCAGGAATGTTTTGTTTTGTTTTCTTTTTGAGATGGAGTCTCACTCTGTTGCCAAGGCTGGAGTGCAGTGGCATAATCTCGGCTCACTGCAACCTCCACCTCCCGGGTTCCAGCGATTCTTCTGCTTCAGCCTCCCAAATAGATGGGACTACAGGCACCCGCCACCACGCCCAGCTAATAGTTTGTATTTTTAGTAGAGACGAGGTTTCATTATGTTGGCCAGGCTGGTCTCGAACTCCTGACCTCGTGATCCACCCGCCTCTGCCTCCCAAAGTGCTGGGATTACAGGTGTGAGCCACTGCTCCTGGCCAACCAGGAATGTTTTAAAGAAAATAATTCCAGTTACGTTTTTGTAAAATAAAGTTTGCATGACCATGGCCAGTTCATATAGCAGGGTGGAAACAGGAGACCACTTCTTGTGGGCAGCCCAAATGACCACCCTCTCAGATCCCAGCTGCACCAAATCTTAGATCCCAGCTGCACCAAATCTCTGTACCTTTCCAGTCTTCAAGGTGCAGTAAACTCAAAATTAAGTAGTGAGCATTAACTTTTGCTTCCAGGGCTCCCAAGTAGAGTCTATTTTTAGGAACAGCTTGGATCTTTGAAAATGCAGCTTGGCCCGGCGTGGTGGCTCGCGCCTGTAATCCCAGCACTTTGGGAGGCCAAGACAGGGGGATCACCTGAGGTCAGGAGTTCGAGACCAGCCTGGCCAACATGGCGAAACCCCATCTCTACTAAAAGTACAGGCATGGTGGCACGTGCCTGTAATCCCAGCTACTCAGGAGGCTGAGGTAGGAGAATCGCTTGAACCCGGAAGGCGGAGGTTGCAGTGTGCCAAGATCATGCCACCGTACTCCAGCCTGGACGACAGAGTGACACTGTCCCCCGCCAAAACAAACAAACAAACAAAAAAAAACAAGAAAAAAAAACAAGAAAATAGCACTGATTGCAGAAGACCTGGGTTTCAATCCTGATGCTCTCACTGAATGCTTTGTCATCTTGGGCAAAGCACCCAGCTACTCTCCATCTCTTCATCTGAAAAATGGAAGTAATAATATTTTATTTCTACCTCAAAGGGCTAATTGAGATTCAAATGAAATTATGTAATTAAATAGACAGTACTTTGCAAATTGTACAGAATAGCGAAGTGTGTCACTTGTATATCCACAAACCTCACCAGACTTTGGTACAAATAGGGAGGATAACTGTTGTATACAACATAATGTGGTAGTTAAGAACAAGTTGATTTCTGCAAATGGTGCTGGAACAATTGGATATTAATATGTAAGAAAGGGAACCATGATCCATAATGTGTACCATATACAAAAATGAACCTGAAATGAATCATACCCCTAAATTTAAACTTAAAGCTATAAACTTTCAGAAGAAAATATTTATAACTTATGGACAGGCAAAAATTTCATAGATAAGACACACAAAAAACATGAACCGTAAAAAATGTTTCAATTAGACTCAATAAATGAAAACCTCTGCCCTCCAAAAACACTGTTAAGAAAATGAAAAGACAAGACACAAATTGAAAGAAAATATTTTAAAAACACACATCTGATAAAAGCTTTGTATCCGGGGCTGGGTGTGGTGGCTCACATCTGTAATCCCAGTGCTTTGGGAGGCTGAGGCGGGCAGATCACTTGAGGCTAACAGTTCGAGACCAGCCTGGCCAACATAGTGAGACCTCCCCCCATCTCTATTAAAAATTAAAAAAAGGAAAAAAGTGGGCAAAATATATAAATAGATCTCCACTAGGTAAGAGAAAAAGATGGCAAGTACATGAAAAAAAGTTCAATGTCATTAGCCATCGGGTGCAAATTAAAACCATAATGAGATACCACCACGTACTTATTAGAGTGGTTAAAATAAAAATAAGCCGGGCGTGGTGGCACATGCCTGTAATCCCAGCACTTTGGGAGGCCAAGGCGGGCGGATCACGAGGTTCACACGGTGAAACCCCGTCTCTCCTAAAAAAATACGAAAAAAATTAGCCGGGCATGGTGGCAGGTGCCTGTAGTCGCAGCTACTCGGGAGGCTGAGGCAGCAGAATGGTGTGAACCCGGGAGACGGAGCTTGCAGTGAGCCGAGATTTTGCCACTGTACTCCAGCCTGGGTGACAGAGCGAGACTCCGTCTCAAAATAAATAAATTAATTAATTAAATTAAATAAATTCATAATACGAAATGTTGTAGAGGATACAGAATAACTGGAAGTTTCATACATATACATTGCAAGTGGGAATGTGAAAAGGGTACAGCCACTTTGGAAAATAGGCAGTTTACTATATTTTTAAAGTTATTATTATTATTATTATTATTATTATTATTATTATTATTATTTTGAGATAGGCTCTTGCTCTATCTCCCAGGCTGGGGTGCAGCGGCAGGATCACAGCTTACTACAGCCCTGACCTTCTGGGCTCAATCAATCCTCCCACCTCAGCCTCCCGAGTAGCTGGGACTACAAGTGCACACCACCATGCCCAGCTAATTTTTGTCTTTGTTTCAAAGAGCTGGGGTTTTGCTAGCCCTGGTCTCCAACTCCTGGGTTCAAGTGATCAGCTCTCCTTACCCTCCCAAAGTGCTGAGATAACAGGTGTGAGCCATTAGCCAGGCATAATGACCCATGCCTGTAATCCCATATACTTGGGAGGCTGAGGCATGAAAATCGCTTGAACCCGGGAGGCAGAGGTTGCAGTGAGCCGAGATCGTGTCACTGCTTTCCAGCCTGGGCAACAGAGCAAGACTCCGTCTCAAAAAAAAAAAAAAAAGAAAAGAAAAGAAATGACAAAGATTGCTTTGCTGGTCCTGGTTCCAGATGCTTTCAGGACCCTGCTGCATACCTGTCCATCAGTGCTATGAAAGCACCTCTCTATCCTTTCAAAACTGCCCTTTTTTTTTCCCTTAGGCTCACTCAAATGGGTTTCTGTTCTTTAGAACCAAAGAGTCCTACCTACCACAATAGAGGTAAAAAGAGTTATCATGGAGTAGAAAGACAAGTCTTGGACCCAGCCCATGGGGACTGAGAAGCAGAGCTGACTTTCTTGGCAATGGGTGCTGTGAGCCAGAGACGGAATCCTCCCCTCTTCTGTTCCTTATAAAATAAATCGCATGAAAGGTTTAGGCCAGCTGAGTGAACATTAGCTATACAAAGTGAACAAGGGAGGGTATTATCCAGGTTAAACTATCATTTGTTTCCAGCTGGGAAGGAGCAGAGAGGAGAAACTGGGAGGAAGAAAAGGCAGTGGAGGAGGGGAGGAAAAAAACTGACATGATATCGTGCCAGAAAATGCTTATATATTCACATTTGGAGGCTTCTTACCTTCGGATGAAAAATGCTGGTCAATTGCCAGGTATTTGTTTGTAAATTAGGAATTTATAGTACATTTAAGTTTACTGTAAATAAATGAACCTTCCATAAAATCAGCTTTCTGACACATTTCCAGACATTTCTCCAAAGCAGCCCATGAGAAATCCTGACTCTCTTTACCAGCAGAATTAAATAGGAGTTTTAGTTTCTCTGCCATGTTCCTGCCTTTGCCGTTAGCTGGGATGAACAGAATGAATGATGCACAGAGGCGGGTGAGACAATGGGGCTGATTCATGGTTTGGGAAAACAGGGAATTGTCACAGAGCTAACACTGGCCCTCCTTTTTGCCGAGGACACTGCAATGTTTAGCTGAAAGCATCTTGCTTGGATTCTTCCAACCACTGGGTAAGCGTCTAAATGAGAAAAGCAATATGGGGCTCCCAGGATCCCTGGGGACGCTTAAAACAATCCTGAGATACCCTGGCAAAGCTTGTGATCTTTGTAAACAAGCAGAGAGATGTTTTTCAAACAGCTGTTAATTTCATTAAGAAGCCTAATTTTAAGGTCCCAGAACAGGCATTTCTTTTTATGCCAGGATCATCTCTGAGTTTTATATTTGCATGCAGTCCTGGTAGCTTAGCTTGGATGTCAGTGTTAGTTAAGCTTACATTTGGATAGGCATTTTCACTTGAGCTTCAAAAAGAATTTACCCTTAGACTAGACTACATTTGACCAAACTAAAGTTAACGGGCAATTGAGAACTACTTATTTACATTTTTATCGTTATCATATTGCACAAACTGTTTTGTGACTTTTTCATTGAACGCTATAGTTTGAAAATATTAACTTGTCAACAAATTTTAATCTATAAGATAACTTCAGGCCCGGCGTGGTGGGTCACGCCTGTAATCCCAGCACTTTGGAAGGCCAAGGCGGGCGGATCACCTGAGGTCAGGAGTTCGAGACCAGCCTGACCAACATGGTGAAACCCCCCATCTCTACTAAATATACAAAATCAGCTGGGTGTGGTGGTGCATACCTGTAATCCCAGCTACTTGGGAGGCTGAAGCAAGAGAATTGCTTGAACCCAGGAGGCGGAGGTTGCAGTCAGCCAAGATCGTGCCATTGCACTCCAGCCTGGGCAACAAGAGCAAAACTCCGTCTCAAAAAAAAAAAAAAAAGGCCGGGCGCGGTGACTCATGCCTGCAATCCCAGCACTTTGGGAGGCCGAAGCGGGTGGATCATGAGGTCAGGAGATCAAGACCATCCTAGCTAACATGGTGAAACCCCGTCTCTACTAAAAAAATACAAAAAAAATTAGCCGGGCATGGTCACACAATGAAACCCCGTCTCTACTAAAAACACAAAAAATTACCTGGCCATGGTGGCGGGCGCCTGTAGTCCCAGCTACTTGGGAGGCTGAGGCAGGAGAATGGCGTGAACCTGGGAGGCGGAGCTTGCAGTGAGCCGAGATTGCGCCACTGCACTACAGCCTGGGCAACAGAGCGAGACTCTGCCTCAAAAAAAAAAAAAAAAGAAAAAAGATAACTTCGAATAGATGTGTAGTGTTTGTGGATGGACCATCGTTTGTTTAACCACTCCCTTATTGTTGGACAACTAGGTTGTTTTTTATTTTTCATAGCAATAAACCATGCTTCAGTAAAAATTATTGTAGATAAATCTTTGCACACTTTCTTATTTTCCTAAAAAAAAAATTCTGGGCCCGGTGCAGTGGCTCATGCTGGTAATCCCAGCACTTTGGGAGGCCAAGGTGGGCGAATCACCTGAGGTCAGGACTTCATGGCAAAACCCCATCTCTACTAAAAGTACAAAAATTAGCCAGGCGTGGTGGTGGGTGCCTGTAATCCAGGTATCAGGAGGCTGAGGCAGGAGAATCCCTTGAACCTGGGAGGTGGAGGTTGTGGTGAGCTGAGATTGCACCACTGCACTCCAGCCTAGGTGACAAGAGCGAGGCTCCATCTCAAAAAAAAAAAAAAAAAAATTCTGGATTTTGCGTTGCTGGGTCAGAAGAGAAGCATTTTTTAATGTTGTTTTTTGTTTTTTGTTTTCAGACGGAGTTTCGTTCTTGTCGCCCAGGCTGGAGTGCAATGGCGCGATTTTGGCTCACGGCAACCTCCGTCTCCCGGGTTCAAGCAATTCTCCTACCTCAGCCTCCTGAGTCGCTGGGATTACAGGGACGCGCCACCACGCCCGGCTAATTTTGTATTTTTAGTAGAGATGAGTTTCTCCATGTCGGCCAGGCTGGTCTCGAACTCCCGACCTCAGGTGATCTGCCTGCCTCGGCCAATGTTTTTGACTCACTTCATACTGAGAAATTGCCCTCTGGAATATAATGTATACACTTGCCTAAGCATAAAATTGCTTTCCTTCACACACACACAGCTCTACGGTTTATTTATTAATTTTCTTTTTTTTAAGTGATTTTCTTGAGTTTTCCAGGAAAGTGAGCATATAATCTACAAATAATAATAATCTTTGGGGTTTTTTTGTGTGTGTTTCATCTACTAGATGAGCAAAGTCGCAAGAATTTATGTTTCAGCATTGGTAAGAATGGGGGTAAATGGATGTTCTCAAACCCTATGAGTATACATTGGTAAGTATTTTTGGAGGATAATTTGAGGCTGTGAAAAATTTAAAATTGCATATCCTTTCACCTACTGATTACACTTCTAGGAGATTATTCTTCACAAGTGAGCAAAGATACACGGATAAAGGTATTCATTAAGAAATTTTCCTTAAGAGCAAAAATTAAAATAAAATAAAAAATTCATCAGTAAGAAATGGTTAAACAGGCCAGGTGCAGTGGCTCACGCCTATAATCCCCGCATTTTGGGAAGCTGAGGTGGCAGATTACTTGACCTCAGGAGTTCGAGACCAGCCTGGCCAACATGGTGAAACCCCGTCTCTACTAACAAAATAAAAACAAACAAACAAACAAAAAAACAAATAGCCAGGTGAGGCGGCAAGTGCCTGTAGTCCCAGCTACTCAGGAGGAGGCTGAGGCAGGAGAATAGCTTGAACCTGGGAGGCGGAGGTTGCAGTGAGCCAAGATCGCACTACTGCGCTCCAGCTTGGGCAGCAGAGCAAGACTGTCTCCAAAAAAAAAAAAAAAAAAAAAAGCCGGGCACAGTGGCTCACGCCTATAATCCCAGCACTTTGGCAGGCCGAGGCGGGTGGATCACGAGGTCAGGAGATCGAGACCATCCTGGCTAACACAGTGAAACCCCATCTCTACTAAAAATACAAAAAAAAAAAAAAGTTAGCCGGGCGTGGTGGGAGGCGCCTGTAGTCCCAGCTACTCGGGAGGCTGAGGCAGGAGAATGGAGTGAACCTGGGAGGTGGAGCTTGCAGTGAGCCGAGATCGCGCTACTGCACTCCAGCCTGGGTGACAGAGCAAGACTCCGTCTCAAAAAAAAAAGAAATGGTTAAATAAATTACAGTAGCTAATACTATGAAATACTGTGCATCCACTGAAGAGAATAAGGTAGATCGCTAGTACCAAACTGGAAATTGGTCCATGCGATTTTGTTAAGTTGATAAAGTATGTTGCAGGATAATAGTATTTTATGATCCCAGTTTTATTTTTAAAAATCCATGTATATACACTCAGAAATATATATGCCTAAATATGCATAGAAAAGTGTCTGAAAAAGACACATCGAACTGTTGAAGGTGATTACCTCTGAGAAATGAAATAGAATAACAGGAATGTTTACTCTTTAGTTTATATGTTGTTTTAACTTTTTTTCTTTCTTTTTTTTGAGACGGAATCTCACTCTGTCGCCCAGGCCAGAGTGCAATGGCGAGATCTCAGCTCACTGCAACTTCCGCCTCCTGGATTCAAGCAATTCTCCTGCCTCAGCCTCCAGAGTAGCAGGGATTACAGGCGCGCACCACCATGCCTGGCTACTTTTTTGTATCTTTAGTAGAGATGGGGTTTCACCATGTTGGTCAGGCTAGTTTCAAACTCCTGACCTCGTGATCCACCTGCCTCGGCCTCCCAAAATGTTGGGATTACAGGCATGAGCCACCGCACCCAGCCATTTTAACTTTTTATGAATATTTATTCCTCTAAAAAAGAGGAAAGTAATGTGTCTCTTCCTTTCCAATTCCGTCATTTCTTTTTCTTATCTTATTGCATTAGATTAGAATTTTGAGAGCAGTTGTTACTATGAATAGTAATAGATGACATCCTTGTCTTGCTCCTGATTTTATTTTATTTTTATTTTTATTTTTGAGACCATATCTTGCCCTGTCACCCAGGCTGGAGTGCAATGGCAAGATCTTGGTTCACTGCAAACTCCACCTCCCAGGTTCAAGCAATTCTCCTGCCTCAGCCTCCCGAGTAGCTGGGATTACAGGCGCAAGCCACCATGCCTGGCTAATTTCTTTTTTTTTTTATCTTTAGTAGAGATGGAGTTTCATTATGTTGGCCAGGCTGGCCTTGAACTCCTGACCTTATGATCCTCCCACCTCAGCCTCCCAAAGTGCTGGGATCAGGTGTGAGCCGCTGTGCCCGGCTTTTTTTTTTTTTTTTTTTTTTTTTTTTAAGACAGAGTCTTGCTCTGTCACCCAGGCTGGGGTGTAGTGGCTCAATCTCAGCTCACTGCAGCGTCTGCCTCCCGGGTTCCAGTGATTCTCCTGCCTCAGCCTCTCAAGTAGCTGGGATTACAGGCACACTCCACCATGCCTGGCTAATTTTTGTATTTTTAATAGAGACGGGGTTTCACCACGTTAGCGAGGCTGGTCTCGAACTCCTGACCTGAGATGATCCTCCCGCCTTGACCTCCCAAAGTGCTGGGATTACAGGCATGAGCCACTGTGCCTGGCTGTTGCTACTGACTTTAACAGTTACACCTTTGGCCAGATGTGGTGGCTTACGCCTGTACAGTCCTACTTTAAATCACTCCTTCATAAAATCTCCTTTAAGCCTTCTAGGTGAGAATTAATCTCTTACTCCACTAGTTAAATAAAACTAGCAGAAAGGGACAGAAAGTTTATTTTACCTGGCCAGGTATGGTGGCTCATACCTGTAATCCCAGCACTTTGGGAGGCCGAGGTGGGTGGATCACCTGAGATCAGGAGTTTGAGACCAGCCTGACCAACATGGAGAAACCCCGTCTCTACTAAAAATACAAAATTAGCCAGGCGTCGTGGTGCATGCCTGTAATCCCAGGTACTTGGGAGGCTGAGGCAGGAGAATCGCTTGAACCTGGCAGGTGGAGGTTGCAGTGAGCTGAGATCACGCCATTGCACTCCAGCCTGGGTAACAAGAGCGAGACTCTGTCTCAAAAAAAAAAAAAAAAGAAAAGAAAAGAAAGTCTGTTCTACCCTTTGCCTGGTTTATGTGGTGACATGCCAAATAAATTTGATACATCCTTTTGTACTATGTTTCTCCATATTAAAACTTCAAAAATTATATATATATATAATTGCCTCACATATTATATATATTATATATATAAATCAAAATTATATATATATCAAAATTATATACATTATATAATATATAAAAATCAAAATTATATATATTATATATAATATAAATCAAAATTATATATTATATAATATATATCAAAATTATATATATTATATATAATATATATAAATCAAAATTATATATATATATAATTGCCTCAAAATAATTGCCTCAAATTGCCTCAAAAAGTGACATGTATTCAAAGAAAAAAATAACAAGATGTCCATTCCTTGGCTCCCTTCCCTCCCCGTTCCTGCTGCTCCTCAGTCCCCTGAGATTGAACCCTGGCTGGGGCTGGGTCGCAGGACAGCCCCTCAGATGAGGTCAGCAACATTGAGGGACATTTCCTCAATGGAGGTGTTGTAGACAGTCTCGATATCTCAAAGAGTCCTCTTGTCTTCTTCTGTCACCATGCTAATAGCCACACCCTTACGGCCAAACTGTCCACCTCGACCAATTCTGTGGATATAGTTTTCTCTGTTGGTGGGAAGGTCATAGTCGATGAGTAAAGAAACCTGCAGCACAGCAATGCCTCTGGCCAGCAGGTCAGTGGTAATCAAAACTCTGCTAGAGCCAGAACAAAACTCCCTCATTGGCCAGGCACGGTGCCTCACGCCTGTAATCCCAGCACTTTGGGAGGCCGAGGCGGGCAGATCACCTGAGGTCAGGAGTTCGAGACCAGCCTGACCAACATGGAGAAACCCCATCTCTACTAAAAGTACAAAATTAGCCAGGCGTGGTGGCGCATGCCTGTAATCCCAGCTACTCAGGAGGCTGAGGCAGGAGAATCACTCGAACCTAGGAGGCGGAGGTTGTAGTGAGCTGAGATCACGCCATTGCACTCCAGCCTGGGCAACAAGAGCAAAACTCCATCTCAAAAACAAACAAGCAAAAAAACAAAACAAAACAAAAACTCCCTCATGATCACATCTTGTTCCTCTTGACCTTTATCTCCATGCATGGCAGAGACAGTGAAATCTCAAGCATGCAACTTCTCGGGGGAGCCAGTCCACCTTCCTTCGGGTGTTGATGAAGACACCTGCCTGAGTGACGGTCAGGGTTTCATGCAAGTCATACAGGGTGTCCTGCTTCCACTCCTCTCATTCCACGTTGATGTAGAATTGGCGGATACCCTCCAGGTCAACTCTTCCTTCTTGACAAGAATCTGAATGGGGTCCCTCATGAATTTCTTGGTCACCTCAAGTACATCAGAAGGCATTGTAGCTGACAGCAAACAGGATGTTGTTGTTGAGCTTTTGGAATATGTCATAGATCTGGTCCCTGAATCCACAGCTTAACATTTCATCAGCTTTGTCCAGTACAAATATCTTGATGTATTTGGGAGACAGGTATCTCCAGTTAAGCATATCACACACAGGGCCAGGGGTACCCCCAATTATATGGGGAGCTTCCATCTGCAGTTTCTGCACCTCAGCACACACGTGGGTGCCCCCTCTACAGGCGTGATAGGAGGCACCCATGCAGTCTCCGAGTGCCATGCCCACCTTCTATATCTGCTGAGCCAATTCCCGAGTGGGTGCTAGAACCAAAGCCTGGGTGGCCTTTAGATCTAATTCAATCTGTTGCAGAATTGATGTGGCAAATGTGGCAGTTTTCCAGTCCCAGACTGGGCTTGAGTGATCACATCATAACCCTTGATACAAGGTAGAATGGCTCGCTGCTGGACGGCAAAGGCTTCTCAAAACCATAGGCGTAGACGCCACGGAGAAGGGACTCCAAGAGGTTCATGTCATCAAAGCTGTCTACAATCTCATTCCAGTTACTCTCTATGACGTCTCCAGGCTCCATCCCATTAGGGCCATTGTCTCTGGATCAGGAATCCTGACTCGCTGACATGATCCTTAGAAACATACATACATATATATATGAATGTTTCTCTCTATATATAGAGAAACATACACACATATATGTATATATACACATATGTATATATATGATTCTTAGAAATACACAAACGTATACATGTTACATATATGTAACATATAAGCATGCATATAACATATACACATAGTTACATATATGTAACATATACACATAGTTACATATATGTAGCAGTTACATATATGTAGCATATACGCATAGTTACATGTATGTAGCATATACGTATGTTACATATACATATATGTGTGTATATATACATGCATGATCCTCAGAAACATAGATATGTGTATATATATACAGACATCCTTAGAAACATATATATGTGTATATATATACTATATATATGTTTCTAAGGATCATGTCTGTGTATATATATATACACATATATATGTATATATATTTAATTTTATTAATGTTATTTTTTTGAGACTGAGTTTCGCTCTATCGCCCAGGCTGGAGTGAAGCGATCTCGGCTCACCTCAACCTCTACCTCCCGGGTTCAAGCGATTCTCCTGCCTCAGCCTCCTGAGTAGCTGGAACTACAGGCTCGGGCTACCACACCTGGGTAATTTTTTTTTTTTGTATTTTTAGTAGAGATGGGTTTTGCCACACTGGCCAGGCTGATCTCGAACTTCTGGTCTCAGCTGATCCGCCTGCCTCGGCCTCCCAAAGTGCTGGGATTACAGGCGTGAGCCGCCACGCCCGGCAAGTGCTGCTTTTTAAATATTCCTTCTATGTCCAGGCTGAGTTTCACTCTGTTAAGAGCCTTTAATTTGTTTTTATGGACTCACAGTGTCCATGACACAGGTGGATGTCATGATGCTGAGATGAGGAAGGACGGGTCTAGTTGGACTTGCCCTCGCTGACATATCCATGCCTTGGGGAAATGCAGGTACACACAATAACTAGCTATAATCTCCCAGAGTGAGTCGCATGACAGGCGGGTCGTGATTCTCCTTTAAATGGGACCTTGATTCACATAACTTGGATGCCCAAAAGCTCCCTTCTCACAACTTGCTAATTGCTTTCTATCAAATTTGCACACATAACAATGTACATTTGCCTATAAATTATAGAGGACAGTTAATTTCTCAAAACAACACTTTAACATTTGCCCTTATCATAAACAGACTTTTGCTCTGGAGATACCTTTAGAAGACTTTTTGTCCTTTTCCCAATAGAAGTATTTTTGGAGTGTTTCTTCCAGTCAGCTTATTTGCAGAATTGTTTAAACTGACACTAATTTTACTGCAGCAATTGAAATAAATGTTTCCAGGCTGGACGTGGTGGCTCACGCCTGTAATCCCAGCACTTTGAGAGGCTGAGGTGGGCAGATCACCTGAGGTCAGGAGTTCGAGACCAGCCTGGCCAACGTGGTGAAACCCCATCTCTACTAAAAATACAAAACTTAGCTGGGCATGGTGACGGGCGCCTGTAATCTCAGCTTCTCAGGAGGCTGAGGCAGGAGAATCGCTTCACCCGGGAGGCAGAGGATGCAGTGAACTGAGATTGTGCCATTGCACTCCAGGCTGGGTGACACAGTGAGAGTCCGTCTCAATAAATAAATCAATAAATAAATGTTTATGTTTCCATTTTGAAAATGTCTACTGGAAAAATAAAGATCTGCAATTAAAATGAACAGGGAGATTCTTGGATTGTGGTAAGTAAAATGGATGTTTATACTTATTTTTTTTCAAGAAACATCATCTGAAATGTCCATTATTAAACGTTTCCTGGATGGATATAGTAAGTTCTGTATAAGTCCTTACAAATTCTGATTGATAGCACAGATGTCCTAATTCTACATTTTCAATAGACAAGTGTTTATTAAGATAGATCTATCAGGCCGGGCGTGGTGGCTCACGCCTGTAATCCTAGCACTTTGGGAGGCTGAGGTAGGTGGATTGCTTGAGCTCAGGAGTTCGAGACCAGCCTGGGCAACATGGTAAAACCCCGTCTCTACTCAAATACAAAAAAAAATTAGCCGGGCGTGATAGCGCACGCCTGTAATCCCAGCTACTATGGAGGCTGAGACAGGAGAATCGCTTGAACCTGGGAGGCAGAGGTTGCAGTGAGCCGAGATCATGCCATTGCACTCCAGCCTGGGCGACAGAGTGAGACTCCATCTCAAAAAAAAAAAAAAAAAAAAAAGATAGATCTATCATCCTAGCAGCTAACTGAAGGGAAGGTGCATAGAACCGTAACACATCACTTCACATCAAGGTAAGCACGTAACCGTTTTCTGTTCAGAAAAATCATAATCCAGGGAGAAAGTTTTATACCTTACCACAAAGGGAGTTTATTGTTTTTTGAAGGACCACTATAGAAATAAAATTTGATATAAATTTAGTGCATAATTACATCATATAGATTTTAAATCTTTCTAAATATGAGTCTGTGAGCTCAAGGTTTATAGGAGTTAGTGCTACCTATTTGTATGAAGTCAGTGTTTATAAAAGTGTTTCTGATCTCTTTCTGGGCAATTTTATTTACTTTTAGAGCATTCGTTTAAAAAATAAGGAACTGATTTACTCAGCTAATTAAATATTAAGTAGCATGATATCAGACCATAATAAATATTTTAAAAGGTAAAAATGAAGGGAGGGTGGATTCTTAGAACAAAGGGATGCTAATTTATTGCATGTTTATTGACTGTTATTGAACCCAAGCAATAGCACAGACCAAAGCTCTATGCCTCATTTTATTGTCCTTATCTGAAAATCCCAGAAATGTAAAACTGGACAAGACTTTCTAAGACAATTTGATTCATCTCTGGCAAATCTTCATGAGGCAAAAACCCAAGGCCTTCATGCAATTGGCTCATGTTGCCTTTGAACACTTAGGGGATAGAGACAATCTTTCTTTTTTACTCATTTTACTTATTTAATTTAACTTTATTTTGAGACAGGGTCTTGCTCTGTCACCCAGGCTGGAGTGCAGTGGTGTGATCTCGGTTCACTGCAGCCTCCACCTCCTGGGCTCAAACGATCCTCCCATCTCAGCCTCCCAATGGGTGGAACCACAGGCCCAAACCACCACATCTGGCTAATTTCTCTATTTTTCCGTAGAGACGGGGTTTCCCTGTCTTGCCCAAGCTGCTCTCCAACTCCTGGGCTCAAGAGATTCTCCCACCTTGGCACCCCAAAGTGCTGGGATTACAGCCTTGAACGACTGATCCCAGCCTATTTTTAGAGATGGGGGTCCAGTCTGCCCAGGATACAGTGCAGTAGCATGACCATGATTCACTGCAGCCTGGACCTCCTGGGCTCAAGCGATCCGCCTGCCTCTGCCTCCTGGGTAGCTAGGACTCCAGGCATGCGCCACCACACCCAGCTAATTAAAAGTTTTTGTTTTTGTTTGTTTTTTTGAGACAGACTCTGGCTTTGTTACCTAGGCTGGAGTGCAGTGGCATGATCTTGACTCACTGCAACCTCCGCCTCCCGGCTTCAAGCGATTCTCATGCCTCAGTCCCGAAAGTAGCTGGGATTACAGGCACACACCACCATGCCCGGCTAATTTTTGTGTTTTTAGTAGAGATGGCATTTCGCCATGTTGACCAGGCCGGTCTCGAAATCCTGACCTCAAGTGATCCACCTGTCTGAGCCTCCCAAAGTGTTGGGATTGCAGGCGTGAGTCCCCGCGCCCGGCTGTTTTTCTTTTCTTTTTTTGTTTTTAGAGATGAGATCTTGCTTTGTTGCCCTGGCTGGTCTGGATCTCCAGGGCTTGAGCAATCCTCCCATCTCATCCTCCCCAGTAGCTGGGACTACAGGCATGTGCCACCACACTTAGCTAATTTTTAAAATTTTTTTGTAGAGATGAGGTTTCACTATGTTGCACCTGCTGGTCTCCAACTCCTTGGCTCAGGTGATCCACGGCCCCCCTCCCAACCTCCCCATCCCTGCCTTGGCCTCCCAAATTGCTGGGATTACAGGGGTTAGCAACCTGTGCCTGGCAGAGATAACCTTTCTTGAACAAAGGAAACTTGTTTTGGTATCAAGCAACAGTAATGTTTACATGAGTTACCTATAAGTCCCCACGAAACTAAGATACTTTACACAGGCTGCACCTCCTCTGTAATTCTCACAAAAGCCGGGTTAGTTATTAGGTGTCTTTTATTGAGAAACTGAGGCCAAAGAGAGGTATGGTAATTTGCCCCAGGTCGCGCTTCTGGCAAGTGCGGGGTCCAGGATTTACACCTAAGTTGTCTCTTTCGTTAACTCTGCTGCTTCTCAAATGCAGTATATATATATATATTTACCTACATAAAGTGACGCAATAAAATCAGTACACATAAGCTTAAGCCTGTTTCAAGAAAAAAGCTTCCTTGGACAATACAAATGAATGATAAGATAATCTCATTTAAACCTGTTATTAAAATAATAGCCCATATTGAATTATTCAGAACCCCAAATCTCGCTTTTTAAAAATCAAGGGTCGGCTGAGCACGGTGGCTCACGCCTGTAATCCCAGCACTTTGGGAGGCAGAGGCGGGCGGATCACGAGGTCAAGGGATCGAGACCATCCGGGCCAACATGATGAAACCCCGTCTCTACTAAAAATACCAAAAAAATTAGCCGGGCGTGGTGGTGGGCGCCTGTGGTCCCAGCTACTCGGGAGGCTGAGGCAGGAGAATGGCGTGAACCCGGGAGGCGGAGCCTGCAGTGAGTGGAGATTGCACCACTGCACTCCAGCCTGGGCGACAGAGCGAGACTCCATCTCAAAAACAAAAACAAAAACAAAAAACAAAAATTAGCTGGGCGTGGTGGCAAGTGCCTGTACTCCCAGCTACTCGGGAGGCTGATGCAGAGAATCGCTTGAACTCGGGAGGCGGAGGTTGCAGTGAGCCGAGATCGCGCCACTGCACTCCAGCCTGGGCGACACAGCGAGACTCCGTCTCAAAAAAAAAAAAAAAAAAAAAAGGAAAAGAAAAGAAAAATCATAGGTATCTGTGTGGAATAAATTAACTACAAATCCCCAAGACGACTCTTGTCATCAATATTTCAATCCATAATTTAGCAAACACACACAGACATCCCTTATAGGGATACAGTTCCAGGCCTTTCTTTGGGCATCCGTTTCGAGACCTGGAGAGACTCTGATGTCTGTGTGTGACTAAGGAGAAGAATAGCTGAATCATATCCAAAAGCGAGTCCTCCCAATTAAGAATCTATAATACAAATCAAGACAATGACAGCATTCCATCTGCCTTTTAACCTCAACAGCTCCTCCTCCCAAGCCAGCCAGCCTACTCCCCTCCCTCATTCCCCCCCAAACTGGGAAATCATCTCGGAGGCCGGAGGCAGAAAGGGGCGGTAGGTGGCCGGGCCCCGCTGCCTCTCGCGCCTCCCGGGGCCCGCCACACACGGTGCCAACGGGACGCCGCGGTCGGCCGCATGAGCGCAAAAGCAGGGCAGCGAGGTGAGCAGAGCCAGAGTTCAGAAGGGGCCGCAAGTCAGACGAGGGGCTGGGAAAAAAGAGCCTCTCCCAAGGTTAACAGAAGCGTGCGGAGCGTGAGAAGCAGCACCTCGCACGCAGACTCGCCCGCCGGCCGGGTGGCACCGCTCAGCCGCCCGCCCGCTAGAAGGCAGCGCGGCCCCGGCCCGGCCCAGCCCGGCGCATGCGCCGCAGCCCCTCCTCCGCTCCCGGCGCCCGCCCCTCCCTCTTCCTGGCGGGTCTGGGGCGGCGGCGGCGGCGGCGGCGGCGGCGCGGTGACGTCAGGGCGTTGGGGCAGCTCCTGTGACAGACGGAGCTGGAGCGGCGGGGCGGCGGCGGAGTCCGGCGGCCGGGAGAGCGAGTGAGCGAGCGGAGGAGCAGCGACACGGGAGTCTAGGGAGCGAGAAGGAGAAGGAGGGGAGCGCTCGGGCGCGAGCGAGAGAAACCGCGAGCGCCGAGCTTGGACTCGAGCCCCGGAACGGCTGAGGAGCCCGCCCGCTCCCCTCCCCTCCCCCTCCCCGGGCCCGGGCCCAGCGCGCCATCCTCCCCCCTCCTTCCCTCCCTCCCTCCTTCCTCCCTCCCCTCTCCCTCCCCCTCCCCCGCCGGTGGATGGGAGTGAAGGACGGAAGAGGCCCTGCGGAGGCGGCGGTGCAGCGCTCCGGTAAGGCGGCGCGGGTCTGCGCCCTCCCCTCTGTCTCCTCCACCGCGCCCGGGCGGCTGCAGGCCGGACCCGGCGGCCTGACGATGTGGCTGCGCCGGTCCCCTCCCTCCCATTCTCCCCTCCCCCTGCCTCCGCCGCCGCCTCCTCCTTCTTCTTCTCTCCTCGCTCTCAAAATGGCGGCCGCGACGGCCGTTGAGTGAGAGACCCGGAGGAGGGGGACTGTCCGGGGAGGGCGCTGCCCTCGCTCCTCTCCTCCCGGGCCCGGCTTTGGGGGCTGCCGGCGCCTCTGCGACCCCCGCCCCGCGGCCCTCCCCAAGAAGGGATCGCCCTCCTCCCTCGGTGACTTAGCAAGAAAAGTATTCTTGGGTTGGAAGGGCGTGGGGACCAGGTAGCTCTCTGATCTTGGGGAAAAGGATCGGCCCTGCTCTCCCCGGCCGCGGAGACGAGCACCGCAGTCCCCACCCCACCCTCAGTTATCGGCTCGGGGACCGGCTCAGCCCCGCGCCGCCGGGGCACTCATAGGGCCTTCCAGGCATTCCGTCCCCGACTGGTCCTTAAGATGGGGTTGACCAGCGGAGGGTGGCCCACCGTCTCCCTGGCCCCCGGTGCGGCGGTCCAGCCTCAGCACCCGCCGAGGAGAGGCAGCCCGGCCCACCGAGCAATCCGCAGCATCCACCCACCGAATCTGGCAGGATTTTCTTTCTGCCACCGGCTCCTCGGTCGGGAGTTGCCTTTTGATGCTGTTAACATTCAGCTTCGAGGCTCCCTGCCATTCCCCTTCGTCTAATCTCATCTCCCTGCCCCTTTGGGAAACGCAGTGCCTCTGCATATTTACCCTCTTTAGCCTCCCACATGAGAAAATGCCTTTGAGGTGGTCGACACATTTTGACTCTGCACCTCTAAACGTAGCAGTAGAGGGGAAGAGGTTTTCCGTATTTAGTAGGAGAGAGCAAGGTACCATAGCTTTATATGTTATGCTACCTTTCTTCAGTGACTTAGCAAGAAACTCCTTGGGAAGAGGGCAGGAAATTTTCTTTTGGGGTTTGGGCCCAATTTATATCAGTCTTTTGGTTAAGAAAATACGCCTTTGAAGAGGAGGACCAGATTTGTGGTCTCGTTCTCAATGGGCGATGTCATGCCAAGGTCCCCCCTCCCTCTTTCCTTAAGTGGCAGTCCGGACAAATAGAGATATTACTGATATTCCCATCTCTCCTTTAAGCACACAGTCTTGGAGTTTCATAAGGTTTTAAAGGCCAAACAAACAATTTGTGCCATTTTTGGCAATTCTGTTTTTGTTGGGGGGGTGGGTTATTTTGTGTGAATTTCTTTTCGAGGCTAGGGCGGAGGAGACAGTGCTTGGGCCTTTCATACCAGTGATAATGTCATCCCTCCCTTTTTGCCACAGGAGTGTTTGCTTTTTTTTTTTTTTTTGCTGCAGCAGGGCGGCTTAATTGCTGCGGGGTCCAGTCTCATAATCAGGAAAATTTCCTGTTGACTGTGTCATAGTGATGTTGAATATATAGTAAAAGCTTTTACTTAAAAAATTCTGATTTGGTTTTAAGGCATTAGCTAGCTTTTAATCTCTAATGGGTGTCTTTTAGGACACAGTTTCACAAAATAATTAGCAGTTGCAAATTGCAGTTTTTAATAAAGCAGAAGAGTAATCTGTATTTAGGGTGATTTCTTTCGTGTTCATTAATGATCATTGTTTGGATTGCTCAGAAGGGGGGAATCTCCTAAAAGAAATTGAAGGCTGGTATATATTTTAAAATCAGAAAGGAATCCAATTTTTCACTTGAAGTATTTCTGTATATGTTGATTTTGATGGAGCAAGCCCTACGTTGGTACCTCCCCCCACATCCTTTTTTAAAAAAATGGGCTAATATTTGTGGATGCTGTGAACAGCCATTGAGCCGAGAAGACTGGGTGGAGTAAGGGAGCAGAAGCTGTGAAATGCTGTATTGCCCTTTCACAGCGTCTTTCTCTTGCTTATGTTTTGTAAGGTTATTTGATATGAATGGTTGCTACAACTAAGTCATTTCTCTGTCGTAAGTCTTAAAATCTAATGTTTTCCACCTTTTTTGCATGATGGGCATTGAATGATTGGAATAAAAAGCAATGTCCCTGCTTTAAAATAGACACTTATTGTCTCCTTATTTGTCCCTGTGTGTGTGTGTGTATATATTAATATATAAAGATACACACACACATATATCTACACTCTTGTTAATGTTTTTTATTGTTCTCGCCATATAAGTATAAATTAATGTCAGAAATATTTGGCAAGAAATAGGGGGTACAGGAATACTGCAATAATCTAAGAAAAATACTACAATTGTTTTACTTAAAACAGTAAATCTATTTGAGATTTTAAAATAGTGAACATAAAAGGTGGGGAAAAAAGGATAAGATAATTTGCATGAAAGCCCCTTCAGATCTTTTCTCTTGTGTTGCTCTTTGAAAGGGACCTTTTTGTGAGATACTGCCATAAGCTAGGGTAGGTCATTTTAATGCCCTGTATCAAGCATTCACATGAGTAGACATCTTCAAAAGAATTTCACATATAGGTGGTAAATGTGACTTTGATTAGCCTTATGAATGCTTGTCAGTGTATGATGTATTTTTACACTTTTGTTCTTTTTAATATGATTAGAAAGTAGAAGGGTTATTATGGTGAGGAAATGAGTAAGGTTGGGAATGATAATTCACTGTATTATGTGTCTGACATATCCCTATTCCTACTGTTTGTAGAATATCAAAGCACACTAAGGTCCAGGTGCAGTGGTTCACGCCTGTAATCTCAGCACTTTGGGAGGCCGAGGCAGGTGGATCACCTGAGGTCAGGAGTTCGAGACCAGACTGACCAATATGGTGAAACCCCGTCTCTACTAAAAATACAAAAAAATTAGCCATGTCTTGTGCCATGCGCCTGTAATCCCAGCTGCTGGGGAGGCTGAGACAGGAGAATAGATTGAACCCGGGAGGCGGAGGTTGCAGTGAGCCGAGATCGTGCCACTGTACTCCAGCCTGGGCGACAGAGCAAGACTCTGTCAAAAACAAACAAACAAAACCCCACACACTGAGTGGTGATTTTTCAGTAGATTGTTGTTAATCAGGAGCTTAAGATAATTTGACTTAAGGAGCTTTAGTTCCAAGTGTATGTAGTGTTTCTTGATACATGTTGGAGAATCTTAGGCTTAATTTGGAGATTAATTTTTAAAATTATTCATAGTTCTGTATAGAACTCTTAATGAGATTGGAAGGAATTTTTTAGTACAATTTTTTGTTACCTGTTTTTCCAGATAAAATATCTCTAGTGTAAAGAGATTTTGAGATGTTTCTGGGAAGGAAAAGTCAGAATCATAATTTATGCTTTTCTAGCTAGAACATCCGTGTCTTTTTTTTTTTTTTTTTTTTTTTTTGAGGGGAAGTCTTGCTCTGTTGCCCAGGCTAGAGTGCAGTGGGGTGATCTCAGCTCACTGCAACCTCTGCCTTCTGGGTTCAAGCGATTCTCCTGTCTCAGCCTCTTGAGTAGTTGGGATTACAGGTGCCTGCCACTACACCTGGCTAATTTTTGTATTTTTAGTAGAGATGGAGTTTCACCATGTTGGTCAGGTTGGTCTGGAACTCCTGACCTCGTGATCCGCCCGCCTCTGCCTCTCAAAGTTCTGGAATTACAGATGTGAGCCACCACACCCTTCCCTATTTTCTATTTTTTAAAAATAATATAAATGTTTCTCTCTCAGTTGTATACTAAGTAACAGAGAGACAGAAAGTGTGTGTGTGTGTGTGTCTGTCTGTCTGTCTGCGTATATGAGACTTTATGGCTTATATTTTAAGTATCCAGCAAAAATAAGACCCTCTTGTTTACATGTGGTTCATGTTATTCATAATTTGTCATCTTTGTGAATAAGTCATGGATGCTATAGAAATTGTCAACATTAAGATGAAGATGTCTGGCCAGACATGGTGGCTCACACTTACACTCCCAGAACTTTGGGAGGCCGAGGCGGGTGGATCACCTGAGGTCAGGAGTTCAAGACCAGCATGGCCAACATGGTGAAACCCCGTCTCTACTAAAAATACAAAAAAATTAGCCGGGCATGGTGGCGCACACCTGTAGTTCCAGCTACTGGGGAGACTAAGGCAGGAGAATTGCTTGAACCCGGGAGGTGGAGGTTGCAATGAGCCGAGATCGCACCATTACGCTCCAGCCTGGGCAACAAGAGCGAAACTCCATCTCAAAAAATAAATAAATAAATAAAAATAAGATGAAGATGTCTTAAAAAACCCAAAGCAAAATATTAGGGCAGAGTGAATTTTCAATATCTTCCCATTGAGTTCTAAAGCAGTGAGTCATGCGCTCTTTTGCCAAAGGGACTTGAGGCTCGGTTGGTTTTAAACCAAGCTGGCCATTTCTGCTTGTGGTCCTAAAATATTTTTTACTTGCCTCTAAGTCCCTGTTAACGAAAATATTTCATTATGACAGGTAACTTATTTTTATGTGCTTTGGAAAGAGGGAAATAGTTAAGTTTTGAAGTGGAAATTCTTTGCCACTGTTTTTATTATGTCATCTACAGTACAACTATTACTTTTTTTTTTTTTTTACTTAGAAAGTTGTTCTATTTAAAATAAAACTAGTGGTATACAATACGAGTTCTGAAAAAAAGACAGACCTACCGTTCTCCAGAAGATGCTTAGCTGTAAATTGAATCCTCGTCATTGAAGGTCAAACATTTTGAGAAATCTGTATTTCATGAAGAAAGATGCTGTATTATGTAAGCGTAATAGTTAACTGCAGTGAAGGCTTTTTGGATTGTTCTTTGTTGCTGGTTTGGCATGGCACTTTTTGGCTAGTCATTGAAATGGAACCTTAGTTTAACTTCTGTTACATATGTAATTTTTAACCTTGGCATGGCAGTCATAGAATTTAATTGATATTTATGAAATGCTTTATATTCATTGGTGGCAGGCATCATAAGCACTTATTATTTTATTTCTTGTTTTCTTTTTAAAAGATGGTGGCTTCTTGTTGAAACTTACCTAGATAGGACTAATCTGCATTTGTCAAGGATACTTCTGGAATGGTACTCTCTATTGTCTTTTAACATTGTCATAAACGTTTCTCTAGAACTTTCTAAATATTGAGCTTGGTACTGATTTTCATTTGTTCTTCTGCCAGCTACTTTTTGAGGTAGATTGGTATTTTTATGGATGAGAGAACTGAAATCCAGAGAATTTCTTTTCCTGTCGAATGTTAGGTTAGTGACTAGAATAAGGTAAATATTGCAGTCACAGAACTCTTGGGTACTGCTTTGTAAAATCACACATTCCTTCTTTCTATAACGATTGGACTCCTTAATCTTTGTTAAATGGTGAAAGTTGGTGGTATTTATTGCCTGCATCATTTAAATTGGCATTTATTAACATATGGTCTTGTATTGTTGACTGCTTTGCATGCATAAGGCTTTTGGCATTTGAGTAGCTTCTCCCAAAAAATGCCTAATACTGCTTTACAGATAGTATTAATAAGTGAATAAGTACTAGTTGCATTTGACTGAATGGTTATGTGAAAGGAAATGTGCTATCCTAAAGATCTTTGTAATAGTTGACTCCGGTGATCTCAAGAGAATTAAGGTGATGGAGGAAAGAGTGGCTGCATTTCGTATACAGAGATTTTATATTCTCTGAGGGAACAGGGTTACACTTTGACAGAATTCTTAAGTATAAAAAGTGAATTAACTCAACTGGACAAATTACCTATACATTTTGATTATCTGCTTTTGGGGCTCTTATGTTGACAAGAATTGACAGTTAACTGAGGCCATTAAAAAATTTTCTGAGACTTTTTACAAAAGTAAAATTAAGAATCTTTGAACATTTTAATAAATTTAATTTTTGAAAGCATTGTAGAAAGTTATATGTTTATTAAAATTTTACAGTGCAGATTAATCCATTTTTAACCTTTTTTTTTTTTTTTTTTTTTTTTTGAGGTAAGAGTCTCACTCCATCACCCAGGCTGGAGTGCAGTGTCTCGATCTCAGCTCACTGCAACCTCCACCTCCTGGGTTCAAACGATTCTTCTGCCTCAGTCTCCCGAGTAGCTGGGACCACAGGCACATACCACCACAGACAGCTAATTTTTGTATTTTTACTAAAGAACTCCTGGCCTCAAGTGATCCACCCGAGTTGGCCTCCCAAAGTGCTGGGATTACAGGTGTGAGCCACCACACCCAGCCCAATCCATTTTTAATCTAAGGTAAAGATAGAAGAGTTTGTTTTATGGGTTGGGCACTGTGGTTCATGCCTGTAATCCCAGGACTTTGGGAGGCCAAGGCGGGCAGAAGGTGATCAGGAGTTCCAGACCAGCCTGGCCAATGTGGTGAAACCCTGTCTCTACTAAAAATACAAAAATTAGCCAGGTGTGGTGGTGGGTGCCTGTAATCCCAGCTACTTGGGAGGCTGAGACAGGAGAATTGCTTGAACCCGGGAGGCGGAGGTTGCAGTGAGCCGAGATCGTGCCATTGCGCTCCAGCCTGGGCAACAAGAGTGAAACTATCTCAAAAAAAAAAAAAAAAAACCAAAAAAAGAAAGAATATGTTCTATGATATACTAGTGTTTTATCTATTTCTTTTCATATTTTTATTTTATAAAAAATATGCTAACTACAAAAGAAAGAAGATGGAGATAAATGAGTCAGATGTTTTGATTATTTAGTATTTTGGTTAAGTTTTTCTTTTTGAGACGGACTCTCGCTGTGTTGCCCAGACTGTAGTACAGTGGCGCGATCTCGGCTCACTGCAACCTCCGCCTCCTGGGTTCAAGCGATTCTCCTGCTTTAGCCTCCCTAGTAATAGCTGGAATTACAGGCATGTGCCACCACACCTGGCTAATTTTTTATTTTTAGTAGAGATGGGGTTTCGCCATATTGGCCAGGCTGATCTCGAACTCCTGACCTCAGGTGATCTACCCACTTCAGTGTCTGAAAGTGCTAGGATTATAGGCATGAGCTATCATGCCTGGCCTTGGTTAACTTTTTATGGGTGAGGAAAGGCTATACATTTAGCATTGTCAGAGAAAATGAAATAAGCTGTTGACTAAACTCATACATGAATATTTATTTATTATTTATTTATTTATTTTTCAAGACTGAGTCTCGTTCTTGTCGCCCAGGCTGGAGTGCAGTGTTGCGATCTTGGCTCACTGCAGCCTCCGCCTTTTGGGTTCAAGTGATTTTCCTGCCTCAGCCTTCTGAATAGCTGGGATTACAGGCATCTGTTACCCTGCCCAGTGAAGTTTTTTGTATTTTTAATAGAGATGGGGGGTCTCTGTTGGCCAGGCTGGTCTCGAACTCCTGACCTCGTGATCTGCCCACCTTGGCCTCCCAAAGTGCTAGGAGTACAGGCATGAGCCACCGTGCCCAGCCACACCTGGCTAATTTTTGTTTTTTGAGATGGAGTCTCCCAATCTTGTTGCCCAGGCTGGAGTGCAATGGCATGATCTTGGCTTACTTCAACCTCTGCCTCCTGGATTCAAGCAATTCTCCTGCCTCAGCCTCCCGAGTAGCTGAGATTACAGGTGCCTGCCGGCATACCTGGCTCATATTTCTATTTTTAGGAGAGATGGAGTATCACCATGTTGGTCAGGCAGGCCTTGAACTCCTGACCTCAGGTGATCCTCCTGCCTCGGCCCCGCAAAGTGCTGGGATTACAGGCATGCACCACGGCGCCCGGCCTAATTTTTCTATTTTCTGTAAGAGGTGAGGTCTTGCCATGTTGCCCAGGCCAGTCTCAAACTCCTAGCCTAAGCAAACTGCCTCAAGCCATCTGCTCACCTTTACCTCCCAATGTGCTGGGATTACAGGCATGAGCCACTGCTCTCAGCCTAAGAAAAAATATTTTTAAAGTTGACAAATGTAGAAATGAGCTAAGATTTGTCAAAGGGATCAATAAGTAATGAAATATTCTGGTTATCAAAGTTTATCATATATGAATGAACAGTGAAAAAATTGGAAATAACAGAATTAACAAATTTTAATTTGTCTTTAATGGTTCAGCAGTCACTTAAAAATTTTTACAGTATTACCATGATGCTATAGTCTTTATCATCACAAATCCCAACGTAAAGATAAAAAAAAACCCCACTTAATAAAATCATTATTCAAGCTTTCTGGCTCTTCGACTTGGGCTAAATAAGTGTTCTGTATAATGGTATGTCCTTAAAGAGAAATTATCTCCACCTACTGAAAAAAAAAACAAAACAGCGAGGGCCTATCAATTTGAGAGTTTAAACAGGCCTGTGGTTCGCATTTTTATGGAAGCATCATAATACAACCCCAAGACATCAAATGTCACTAGCACAGAAGACATCTAGGATCCAAAGTTCTTAGAAGAATATTACTTTTAAAAACATTAGAAATAATACTTTACGTGGGACTCAACCTTGACTCTTCTTTCTTCCTCTATATCCAATCAATTACCTTGTCTTGCCAATTTTACCTCCTCGATATTTGTTGAGTTAGTCCCCTTCTATCCATACTTACCATTACTACTACTACCATCATAGTTCACATAATCTCTTACCCAACTAATTTCACATCGTCTCTCTAAATTCAGTCTTGTCCGGTTAACGTCTTTCTGCTACATAGTCCCCAGTCATCTATCTAAAATGCAATCTGACCATATCACACTTCCCTACTTAAAAAGAACCCTCCCTTGGCTCCCTTTGTATTTATTTAACAAATATTTACATAGCACTTACTAATACGCCAGGCTCTGTTTTAAGTGCTTTACAAGTATTCGTTTACTCCTCACAACATTCTGGGAGAATTTAGCTAGCCCTTTGTGACAGCTTTGTAAGTAGCAGAGCTGAAAGTTGAACCTCAGGTACTGAGGCTCCACAGTTGGGGCTTTCAGCCACCGTACTGTGCTGACTCCCTCTTTCCTATAGTCCACATACTTTAACACAGTTTGCTAGGTCTTCAGTCACTTCAAGTTTCATTTCTAATCAAGCCCCACCTTGCTCACACTCTAATATATATATGCTTTCTCCCTCCCCACTTTGTGATCTTTGTGATTCTACTCCTGCTGTCCTCTCTGTCTAGAGCAACTTGTAGTATCTCAGAACAGAGTGCAGTGAATACATTTTGACAAAAGAATGATTTTTTTTTTTGAGACAGGGTCTGGCTCTGTTGCCCAGGCTGGAGTGCAGTGGCTAACTACAACTCTGCAAATCCTGGGCTCAAGCAGTCTTCTTGCCTCAGCCTCCTGAGTAGCTGGGTCTACAGGCCCGCGCCACCATGCCTGGGTAATTTTTGTATTTTTCAAAATACAGGCCAGGCGCGGTGGCTCACGCCTGTAATCCCAGCACTTGGGGAGGCCGAGGCAGGTGGATCACCTGAGGTCAGGAGTTCGAGACCAGCCTGGCTAACATGGTGAAACCCCGTCTCTACTAAAAATAAAAAAATTAGCTGAGCGTGGTGGTAGATGCCTGTAATCCCAGCTACTTGGGAGGCTGAGGCAGGAGAATTGCTTGAACCCAGGAGGCAGAAGTTGCAGTGAGTTGAGATTGCACCACTGTACTCCAGCCTGGGCAAAAAGAGCAAAACTTTTGTCTCAAGGAAAAAAAAAAGTATGTATATATGTATACACACACACATTTTTGTTTTTATTCAATTTCATAAGAAGGGGGAAAATCTTGATTGACATTGGGTAATTTGAAATTTTCTCCAGATTCTTTTTTTTTTTTTTCTGGACACGGAGTCTCTCTCTGTCGCCTAGACTGGAGTGCAGTGGCACGATCTTGGCTTACTGCAGCCTCCACCTCCCAGGTTCGAGTGCTTCTGCCTCAGCCTCCTGAGTAGCTGGGATTACAGGCATGCGCAACCACGCGCGGCTAATTTTTGTATTTTTAGTAGAGATGGGGTTTCACCATGTTGGTCAGACTGGTCTCAAACTCCTGACCCCGTGATCCTCCCACCTTGGCCTCCCAAAGTGCTGGGATTACAGGCGTGAGCCATCGCGCCTGGCCAGATTATTTTTATTTTCTTTTTTGAGACGGAGTTGAGGTCTTGTCGCCCAGGAGTGCAATGGCGTGATCTTGGCTCACTGCAACCTCCACCTCCCAGGTTCAAGAGATTTTCCTGCCTCAGCCTCCCGAGTAGCTGGGATTACAAGTGTGTGCCACCACACCCGGCTAATTTTTGTATTTTTAGTAGAGATGGAGTTTCACCACATTGGCCAGGCTGGTCTCCAACCCCTCACCTCAAGTGATCCCCCCGCCTCGGCCTCCCAAAGTGCTGAGGTTACAGGTGTGAGCCACCGCACCCTGCTGAGATTCTTAATAAAATGATTAAATGGATAGGAAAATCAGTGTACTTGGTATTTTAAAGCTGTCCTGAGTTGTTATGGTATACCTTGTATGTGACCTGTGTCATTTAGGCTATTTCAGGGCCCATCAAATCTACACACTAAAGACAGCCAAGAGATGATACTTGAACTGAATCTTGAAGAATGAATAATTGGGCCAGGCGTGGTGGCTTACACCTGCAATCCCAGCACTTCGAGAGGCTGAGGTGGGTGGATCACTTGACGTCAGGAGTTCGAGACCAGCCTGGCTAACATGGTGAAGCCCTATCTCTACTAAAAATACACAAATTAGCCGGGCCTGGTGGTGCATGCCTGTAATCCCAGCTACTCGGGAGACTGAGGCTGGAGAATCACTTGACCCAGGAGGAGTATTGGAGTGAGCCGAGATGGCGGCCACTGCACTCCAGACTGCTGAGCGACAGCAAGACTCTGTCTCAAAAAAAAAATAATTGGAGTGAACGTGGGAGGTCATTTTAGGTGGAGGGAACAGCAACATAAATAGTCACAGAAGCATGAGAAACTATTTTATGTATGCTGGTAATAGTTTGGCAGAGGGGATTGTAGAATTTGAGGTTGGAGAGGCACGTCTGAGCCAGATTGATAGAATTTGTATATTGTGTAGCTTGTAGGCAAGTTGGAAGTCATTAAACAATTTCAGGTAAAAACAAGCATTATGAGATGATGTATATTTTGGAGAGATTATGCAGGTGGCAATAATGAATGTGGATTTTGGAGGTCATGTAGACTTCTTCAGAAAATAATGATTAGTGCTTGAAGCAAGACAGTGACATTAAATGTTGTTGAGTGGAGAAAGGTTTAGGAGGTCCGGTTGTGAATGAGTAGTGTGATGGGGAGAGGCAAGTTGAAACAATTCAGATTTGTAGTTTGGGTGACTGAGTGGAACTGAGAAACGAGGTGTTATTAGCCATAGCAGAGAATAAGAGGAGGAGTTGTATAGAATATTACATAAAGCAGCCAGATAAATGTTCCTGAACCACAATTTTCAAGTCACTTTGTTGCCAAAAACCCATCATCAGCTTTTTACTGTCTTTAATGAAAATGCAAAGAACACAATGGCAAAACTATGGTACTGAATAGGTGTTTATTGAATCCTAAATGGGCACTCAAAGACTTCTCTTACATGTCCTGGCTTTTCATCCTGTTTCTTATTGCCTTCCATGTCTACTGTGATTCAGCTTTGGGAAGATATTTTCTGTTCCTTTTGCTGCTTTGACTCCCTGCCGCGCCCCCCTTACTTACGCTTCAAATCTGCCTACCAGGTTTTCCATTTCCAGGCAGTCTTTTCTAATTTTTTCCACCTGGAAGAAACTTTCTTTTCTCTGAGTTCGTAATCTTATAATAAGTACCTATTTTTCTCTTCTTCTAGCGTATATAAAATGTATTATCTGACGTGTCAAGTGAGTTAATGCATTTAAAGAGCCTAGGAATGGTACCTAGAACATAGTAAGTACTCAATAAATATTGTTATTATGGTGATGATTGATGATGATTAAGATGAGGTGACCTTTGCTTTCTGCTTTCTTGTGATGGCAAAAATGATTTGTTGTCTGTCTTTGGACACTAGGGAAGCAAAGTCTTTTACTTTGCTTATGTATATAAAAGTACAAAAGTGAAATTATTCTTGAGCTGTAGGTGAGAGATATACAAAGCTAGACAAGCCCTTAAATATTGACGATTTTGTTAAGCTTCACCACAGCTGTTTGAGGTAGGCGGTATATTAGTCCCTTTTTAAAAATGGGTAAATAGGCTTAGGAAATTTGTAGATTTCCCCAAGGTCACACAGTTTGTAAGGAGCCAGATTGATATATGAATCTTAACTATTCGACTCCAAAATTCTTCACAGGAGGGCTTCATGTGTGTAGGACTTACCCTTCAGGGCTTTCATTTCATTTATGTATCCAACTTGTTACCTGTCAGAAAGCCTATCATGAGACCTATGCCCAATGGAAAAAAAGTGCTTTTTGAGTTTTCTTTAATTTTTTTTTTTGGAGACGAAGTTTCACTCTTGTCGCCCAGGCTGGAGTGCAATGACGCTATCTTAGCTCACTGCAACCTCTGCTTCCTGGGTTCAAGCAGTTCTGCCTCAGCATCCTGAGTAGCTGGAATTATGGGTGCCTGCCACCAAGCCAAGCTAATTTTTGTATTTTTAGTAGAGATGGGGTTTCACCACGTTGGCCAGGCTGGTCTTGAGCTCCTGACTTCAGGCCCGCCTTGGCCTCCCAAAATGCTGGGATTACAGGTGAGCCACCATGCCTGGCTAAAATTTTATTTTGTGTATTTACAGTTTAATTTGTTTTCTATTTTTATTAGGGAATATGTTAAATGTTAAAAGTACCTGCAGTAGTAAAACAGAATAGCCATATAAGTATTACCAGAATTGACAGATGTTAACATTTTGTCATATTTGCCTCAGAGCTTTTTTTTTTTTTTTTTTTTTTTTTTTAAGACGGAGTCTCGCTCTGTCGCCCAGGCTGGGCTGGAGTGCAGTGGCGCAATCTCAGCTCACTGCAACCTCTGCCTCCCAGGTTCACACCATTCTCCTGCCTCAGCCTCCCTAGTAGCTGGGACTACAGGTGCCCGCCACCACGCCTGGCTAACTTTTTGTATTTTTAGTAGAGATGGGGTTTCACCATGTTAGCTAGGATGGTCTCGATTTCCTGACATTGTGATCCACCCGCCTCGGCCTCCTGCGGTGCTGGGATTACAGGCTTGAGCCACCACGCTTGGCCTAGAGCTTTTTTAAAGAAGGCATTATTACAGTTATAGTTGATATCTTTTTGTATTTTGTTTTTTATTTTGAGACAGAGTCTTGCTCTGTCACCAGAGTGGAGTGCAGTGGTGTAATATCCGCTCACTGCAACCTCGGCCTCCAGGGTTCAAGAGATTCCCCTCCCTCAGCCTCCTGAGTAGCTGGGACTACAGGCGTGCACCAGCGTGCCCGGCTGATTTTTTTTTGTATTTTAGTAGAGATGGGGTTTCACCATGTTGGCCAGGGTGGTCTCCATCTCCTGACCTCATGATCTGTCTGCCTGGGCCTCCCAAAGCGCTGGGATTACAGGTGTGAGCCACCACGCCTGGCCTTTTCTTTTCTTTTTCTTTTTTTTTTTTGAGATGGAGTCCCGCTCTATCACCCAGGCCAGAGTGCAGCAGCACCATCTCGGCTCACTGCAGCCTCCACCTCCCAGGTTCAAGCGATTGTCTGCCTCAGCCACCCGAGTAGTTGGGATCACAGGCATGTACCACCACACCTAGCTAATTTTTGTACTTTTAGTAGAGACAGGGTTTCACCATGTTGGGGCCAGGCTGGTCTCAAACTCTGGGCCTCAAGTGATCCACCTGCCTCAGCCTCCCAAAGTTCTGGGATTACAGGTGTGAATCACCGCACCCGGCTTGATGTCCCTTTTGTACTTCTTTCCAATTGTGTCCACCTTCCTCTTCTCAGTAGTAAAGTTTCTCCTAAATGTTGTATATAGCCCTTCGTTCCATATTTTTATGCATTTACTATATTTGGGTGTATCTATAAACAATATATAGTAGTGCTTTATAGATTGTTAGAATTTACGTGAATATTCTACTGTATATCTATATTAATCTACTTGGTTTTCTTTCCTGTTTTTTAGATGCATTATTGATATATGTAGATCTAGTTTATTTAGTTGTATAATTTCTTATATATGATACCATATTTTCTTTTTCTTTTTTTTTTGTGAGACAAAGTCTCACTCTGTTGTCCAAGCTGGAGTGCAATGGCACAATATCAGCTCACTGCAACCTCCACCTCCCAGGTTCAAGCGATTGTCCTCCCTCAGCCTCCTGAGTAGCTGGGACTACAGACACGCACCACCATGCTCGGCTAATTTTTGTATTTTTAGTAGAGATGGGGGTTGCACTATGTTGGCCAGGCTGGTCTCGAACTCCTGACCTCGTGATCCACTGGCCTCAGCCTCTCAAAGTGCTGGGATTACAGGCGTGAGCCATCACACCTGGCCCTTTTACCATATTTTCTTTATGTTTAGACTACAGAAATGGGCAATTAGGTTGTTTACAGCTTTTTACTATTACAGACAATGCTGCAGTGAACATAAGGAAGGTGTTTGCTAGTGAGATGATATGATGTGTTTACTTGGGCTGGGTGTGGTGGCTCACAACTGTAATCTCAACACTTTGGGAGGCCAAAGCAGGGGATTGCTTGAGGCCAGGAATTTGGCACCAGCCTGGGCAACATAGTGAGACCCTGTCTCTACAAAAAACAAATTAACCGGATGTGGTGGCATGTGCCTGTGGTCCCTAGAAGTTTGAGGTCGCTGTGAGCTGTGCTTGTGCCTCTGCACTCCAACCTGGACAACCGGGTGCGACCTCATCTCTAAAAATAAAAAATGATTTGTTTGTTTTTGCACTGCAGAATTCACCCTTAGGTTAATTAAATAAAATATTTGTTCTTTGGTAATATTTATGCTTCGAGCTGAATAAAGAGAATGGATAATATTATTGCATCAATTTTAGACCATAATTTCCTAAACTTCATTCTGTTTTCTTCCGTCTCTTCAACCATTCAAACATATTTATTCATTATCTAGCCAGGGGTTGAATACTGGCAGCCTTGTATTTCTCTTTGCATTGATGGTTAACATTTTTTTGAGCCAACATTTAAAAACTAGCTGTTTTACATAAAGTCTCTATTTTCTGGTTATCCTGAAAAATTAGGAGCTCTGTCAACAGGCAGCCCACATTTTCCCATGACAGCAGTTAACCTAAGCTGAATTACAGCTGCCTTCTTGAATTTTTTTTTCCCCCTGCTGGAGATGGGGTCTCACTCTGGTGCTGGGGCTGGTCTCAGACTCCTGGGCTCAAGTGATCCCCCTGCCTCGGCCTGCCAAAGTTGTGGGATTGCAGGGATGAGCCACCGCGCCCGGCTCCCGCTGCCTGCCTTTAGATGAGCATACGCTCTCCAGTGGAACAAGTTGCTGGTCCTCCTTGTTGGTGTTTATTATCGCCCTTGTATTGTTCATGGTGGACAGATACTTCTCTATTGATGATGTTTCTTTCAAAAATGAAAAAAAGTATAGCTTGACAGCTGTAGTTTTCAAGAAAAGTAGAAAAGAGCATATTTTTCTGGAAATGAAGATTTTTTTTTTTGAGACGGAGTCTCACTCTGTTGCCCAGGCTGGAGTGCAGTGGCGCTGTCTCGGCTCCTGCAACCTCTGCCTCCCAGGTTCAAGCGATTCTCCTGTCTCAGCCTCCCGAGTAGCTGGGATTAGAGGCGCCCGCCACCAGGCCCAGCTAATTTTTGTATTTTTAGTGGAGACGGGGTTTTACCATGTTGGCCAGGCTGGTCTCGAACTCCTGACCTCGTGATCCACCCGCCTAGGCCTCCCAAAGTGCTGGGATTACAGGCATGAGCCACCGCGCCCGGCTGAAACGAAGAATATTTTAATATATATATATTTTAAGACAGAGTCCTGCTCTGTCGCCCATGCTAGAGTGCAGTGGCACGATCTCGGCTCACTGTAGCCTTTGCCTCCTGGGTTCAAACAATTCTTGTGCCTCAGCCTCCCAAGTCGCTGGGATTACGGGCGTGTGCTACCATGCCCTGCTAATTTTTGTATTTTTAGTAGAGGCAGGGTTTCGCCATGTTGGCCATCTGGTCTTGAACTCCTGGCCTCAAATTATTTGCCCACCTCAGCTTCCCAAAGTGGTCAGATTACTGGCGTGAGCCACTGTGGCTGGCCAGTAATTTTGTTTTTAATTGAACTTTGAAAACGCAGTTCTATCATTGGTGTTCTATTTCTAGCCGACTCAGACTTTCACCTGGCAAGTTGGTCTCTGTATTTGATTTGTAACTCCTTATTTAAAGCAATTTATGAGGATGCATAAAACTACAAAATGCCTCAGATAAAAGTAAGGAGAAAGAAGAAACAAAAACAAAAGATAAAGATAAAGTCAAGTCAGGATGTAGGCCAAAAAGGTTTATTATAATTTTCTTCCTACAGGCAGAGCACAGATTTGACTCTGAGCTTTCTAGGAACCAGCAGGAGAGAAAAACTTGGTAGTTTATTTTTTTACAGTGTCCTTAAGATACAAAATAACTAGATAGTTCAGAAAGATAACTAACCACTTGGCACTATCAGGCTAGAGCAGAAGTGTCCAATATTTTGACTTCCCTGGGCCACATTGGAAGAAAAAGAATTGTCTTGGGCTACACATAAAATACACTAACGATAGTTGATGAGCTTAAAAAAAGTCACAAAAAAAATGTCAGTGTTTTAGGAAAGCTTACGAATTTGTGTTGGGCCACATTCAAAGCTGTCCTGGGCCGTGGGTAGCACAAGCTTGGGCTAGAGTTTCTCATGGGGCTCTCATAAAGAGGATTATGTTGTAATTATTATTATCCTCTTCAACATCTTTAAGGTAGATGGATGACAAGTATTTAAGTAGTCTTAGTGTGGGAGACCAATCACATCACATGAGTCAGTCTGAAAGAGTGGATAGATTTGTCTTTCAGTGTCTGATGAGTGGATGAGTTTCCCTCAACCCAGCTTTTTAACCTCCTTGGCAGGTACCTCCATACATCAAGTACAGACCATTCATATGTAGGATTTAAATTACCCTGTGAAAATCTAATTTTACCCAGAATAGAATTTGTGGGAGTGACTGTACATTAAAATTCTTGTTAGAAAATAATTTCAAATCTTCTTCATCCTTGTCTGTCTTCTTCTCTGTAATTTGAAGGTGGGTAGAGAATATTCTTCCAGAATATCCAAAAGTGGTAAAAACATTAAGAAATATAGAAAAGGGCCAGGCGCGGTGACTCATGCCTATAATCTCAGCACTTTGGGAGACTGAGGCAGGCGGATCATGAGGTCAGGAGTTCGAGACCAGCCTGACCAATATGGTGAAACCCTATCTCTACTAAAAATACAAAAATTAACCGAGCATGGTTGTGTGCGCCTGTAGTCCCAGCTACTCAGGAGGCTGAGGCAGGAGAATCGCTTGAACCTGGGAGGCAGAGGTTGCAGTGAACCGAGATCACGCCATTGCACTCCAGCCTGGGTGACAGAGCAAGACTCCGTCTCGGGGCAAAAAAAAAAAATAAAAAAAGAAAGAAATACAGAAAAGGGGTCCAGGACACAGCTGTGTTTTATATTGCTAGAATTTGCTTCAGCAGAAGACCCGTGAATCAGGACTCATGCTGGTTTTCAGCATAGATTAAATGTAAGGAGAGGTTTGGTTTTTGTTTGTTTTGAGTCGGAGTCTCGCTTACTTTTTCTTTTGAATTTTAAAAAAGAAGAGTGAGAGTACGTCTTTACTCTCTCAGAACACAGTAAGTTTTGATCTTAGTTTTTACTAGGATGCCTACAGTAGTTGTTTAGAAACACTAATTACCATGAGTTTGGTCGGGACACAATGAACAGTGTGTCAAGGGTTGAGGCAACATCAGGGCAGATAATTACAGTGTATTGTGAGAAGTGGTAAATACGTGTATGTATGAAGTACTATGAAGTCACAGAAGAGGTGGTTACTCTGTGTTCGCTTAATTGTTTGGGGTCAAAACTAGTGAGAATGGTAACTAAACCCGCAAGTTCTGCTGTTTATGCTAGCTGCTGAGAGGCTTGCTAATGATGTTTAAATATCATTGATAGCTATTAGGTTGAACCATTATTGGCAGTTTTTAATGGTTTAACCCTAGTAGTATCTTGGTGTGACGATTTAAAAGGTATTTTATTTTTTGCCAATACTGTTTGACGGTTGTTGAATAATTGATATTTTGTTAAAGCTTTGAATATTGAATAAATGTGCCATTTTGGGAAAATGGCACTTTTTTTTTTTTTTTTGAGACTGAGTCTCATCGCCCAGGCTGGAGTGCAGTGGCATGATCTCCACTCACTGCAACCTCCGCCTCGTGGGTTCGAGTGATTCTCCTGCCTCAGT